>NC_000011.10:37029696-37181212 GCF_000001405.40 Homo sapiens
CAGGGCCTAGCATGGTGCCTGGTCCATGGTAGTTATTTAATATATCTTTATAGGAAAAAATTTAAAAAGTGAGCTTAATATTTAAAATTACTCTGCTTATCTATTGCTGCATGATAAACCACTGCACCCCAAAGTTAGTGGGGAATCAAACCGTTTTGTTATACTTACAGATCCTTTGGGTCAGAGATTTAGATAGGGAACAGCAATAAGAAGTTATCTTTCCTCAATGAAACTAGGAGGATTCAAGACTAAGATGCAGAATCATCTGGAAACATTTTTTTCTTTTCTTTTTTTTTATTATACTTTAAGTTCTAGGATACATGTGCAGAACATGCAGGTTTGATATATAGGTATACATGTGCCATGGTGATTTGCTGCACCCATCAACCCATCGTCTACATTAGGTATTTCTCCTAATGCTGTATCTCCCCTTGCCCCCAGCCCCTGAGAGGCCCCGGTGTGTGACGTTCCCCTCCCTGTGTCCATGTGTTCTCATTGTTCAACTCCCACTTATGAATGAGAACATGCAGTGCTTGGTTTTCTGTTCCTGTGTTAGTTTGCTGAGAATGATGGTTTCCAGCTTCATCCATGTCCCTGCAAAGGACATGAACTCATTCTTTTTTATGGCTGCATAGTGTTCCATAGTGTATATGTGCCACATTTTCTCTATCCAGTCTGTCATTGATAGACATTTGGGTTGGTTCCAAGTCTTTGCTATTGTGAATAATGCTGCAATATACATATGTGTGCATGTGTCTTTATAGTAGAATGACTTATAATCCTTTGGATTTATACCCTGTAATGGGATTGCTGGGTCAAATGATATTTCTGGTTCTACATCCTTGAGGAATCGCCACACTGTCTTCCACAATGGTTGAACTAATTTACACTCCCACCAACAGTGTAAAAGTGTTCGTGTTTCTCCACATCCTCTCCAGCATCTGTTGTTTCCTGACTTTTTAATGATTGCCATTCTAACTAGTGTGAGATGGTATCTTATTGTGGTTGTGATTTGCATTTCTCTAATGACCAGTGATGATGAGCTTTTTTACATATGTTTGTTGGTCACATAAATATCTTCTTTTGAGAAGTGTCTGTTCATGTCCTTCACCCACTTTTTGATGGGTTGTTTGTTTTTTTCTTGTAAATTTGTTTAAGTTCTTTGTAGATTCTGGATATTAGCCCTTTGTCAGATGGATAGATTGCAAAAATTTTCTCCCATTCTGTAGGTTACCTGTTGACTCTGATGATAGTTTCTTTTGCTGTGCAGAATGTCTTTAGTTTAATTATATCCCATTTGTCAATTTTGGCTTTTTTTTGCCATTGCTTTTGGTGTTTTAGTCATGAAGTCTTTGCCCATACCTATGTCCTGAATGGTATTACCTACGTTTTCTTCTAGGGATTTTATGGTTTTGGGTCTTACATTTAAGTCTTTAATCCATCTCAAGTTAATTTTTGTGTAAGGTATAAGGGAGAAGTCCAGTTTCAGTTTTCTGCATATGGCTAGCCAGTTTTCCCAACACCATTTATTAAATAGCAAATCATTTCCCCATTGCTTGTTTTTATTAGGTTTGTCAATGTGTGGATGTGTGGTGTTATTTCTGAGGCCTCTGTTCTGTTCCACTGGTCTATATATCTGTTTTGGTACCAGTACCATGCTGTTTTGGTTACTGTAGCCTTGTAGTATAGTCTGAAATCAGGTAGCGTGATGCCTCCTGCTTTGTTCTTTTTGCTTAGGATTGTCTTGGCTATATGGGCTCTTTTTTGGTTCCATATGAAACTTAAAGTAGTTTTTTTTAATTCTTTGAAGAAAGTCAATGGTAGCTTGACGGGAATAGTATTGAATCTATATATTACTATGGGCAGTATGGCCATTTTCATGACCTTGATTCTTTCTATTCATGAGCATGGAATGATTTTCCATTTGTTTGTGTCCTCTCTTATTTCCTTGAGCAGTGGTTTGTAGTTTTTGAAGAGGTCCTTCATATCCCTTGTAAGTTGTATTCCTAGGGATTTTATTCTCTTTGTAGCAATTGTGAATGGGAGTTCCCTCATGATTTGACTCTCTGTTTGTTGTTATTGGTGTATAAGAATGCTTGTGGTTTTTGCATATTGATTTTGTATCCTGAGACTTTGCTGAAATTGTTTATCAGCTTAAGGAGTTTTTGGGCTGAGACGTTGGGGTTTTCTAATATACAATCAAGTCATCTGCAAACAAACAATTTGACTTCCTCTCTTCCTATTTGAATACGCTTTATTTCTTTCTCTTGCCTGATTGCTCTGGCCAGAACTTCCAATCCTATGTTGAATATGAGTGGTGAAAGAGGACATTCTTGTCTTGTGCTGGCTATCAAAAGGAATGCTTCCATTCTTTGCCTGTTCAGAAATCTTCCATCAATACCTAGTTTATTGAGTGTTTTTAGCATGAAGGGGTGTTGAATTTTACTGAAGGCCTTTTCTGCGTCTATTGAGATAATCATGTGGTTTTTGTCATTGGTTCTGTTTATGTGATGGATTACATTTATTGATTTGTGTATGTTGAACCAGCCTTGCATCCCAGGGATGAAGCTGACTTGATTGTGGTGGATGAGCTTTTTGATGTGCTGCTGGATTCGGTTTGCCAGTATTTTATTGAGGATTTTCGCATTGATGTTCATTGGGGATATTGGCCTGAAATTTTCTTTTTTTGTTGTGTCTCTGCCAGGTTTTGGTATCAGGATGATGCTGGCCTCATAAAATGAGTTAGGGAGGAGTCCCTCTTTTTCGATTGTTTGGAATATTTTCAGAAAAAATGGTACCAGCTCCTCTTTGTACCTCTGGTAGAATTTGGGTGTGAACTCACTCAAAACCGCACAACTACATGGAAACTGATCAACCTGCTTCTGAATGACTACTGAGTAAATAACAAAGTTAAGGTGGAAATAAATAAGTTCTTTGAAACCAATGAGTCAAAGACACAACATATCAGAATTTCTGGGACACAGATAAGCAGCATTTAGAGGGACATTTATAGCACTAAATGCCCACAGGAGAAAGCAGGAAAGATCTAAAATCAGCACCCTAATATCACAATTAAAAGAACTAGAGAAGTAAGAGCAAACACATTCAAAAGCTAGCAGAAGACAAGAAATAATTAAGATCAGAGCAGAACTGAAGGAGATAGAGACATGAAAACCCCTTCAAAAGACAATGACACCAGGAGCTGGCTTTTTGAAAAGATTAACAAAATAGATAGACTGTTAGCCAGACTAATAAAGAAGAAAAGAGAGAAGAATCAAATAGACACAATAAAAAATGATAAATGGGATATCACCACTGATCCCACAGAAATACAAACTACCATCAGAGAATACTATAAATACTTCTATGCAAAGAAACTAGAAAATCTAGAAGAAATGGAAAAATTCCTCGACACATATACCCTCTGAAGACTAAACCAGGAAGAAGTCGAATCCCTGAATAGACCAATAACAAGTTCTGAAATTGAGGCAGTAATTAATAGCCTACCAACCAAAGAAACATTTTTACTTACATGTACGATGGTGTGGACTGTTGGCTGGGACTTCAGGTCATCTATTTGCCAGAACACCTAAATGTTGCCTCTTTATGAGGCCTTTCTGTGTAGTGTTTCCATGGAAGATAGTTTGGGCTGCTTCACAGCATGGAAGCTGGTTTTCAAAAGAAAAAAAGTCCTATGAGAAAAATGTGAAAATTCAGGGCATGTTATTTTGTAATCTTGAAAGTAACAGAGCTTCATTTCTGTTACACCCTCTTGATTGAGCAGGTGCAAAGCTTTGATTGGGTTCAAGGGGAGGGGATATAGATCTTGCCACTGGATGGGAGAGTCAAAGTTATATTATAAGAAGAGACTGTGAGATGGGAGAGGATATTTGAGCCAACTTTGGAAAATGCAACAAAAATCTCATCTTGAATTATAATCCCCATAACCCCCACGTGTCAAAGGCAGCACCAGGTAGAGGTAATTGGATCATGTGAGTGGTTTCCCCCATGCTGTTCTCATGATAATGAATGAGTTCTTATGAGATATAATGCTTGTATGAGTATCTGGCATTTCCCTTGCTTGCACTTCTCCTTCCTGGCACCTTGTGGAGAAGATGCCTTGCTTCTTCTTCACCTTCGTCCATGATGCTAAGTTTCCTGAGGCCTCCGCAGCCATGCTGAGCTGTGAGTCAATTAAACCTCTTTCCTTTGTAAATTACCCAGTCTCAAGCAGTTCTTTATAGTAGTATGAACTGCACAATCTTCCACAGGTACATACGTAACTTAATACAATTGTCCCAGATTTTAATCTTTTATGAGAGAGTAAAAAACAAAAGTCTGAGTATGAAAGATTCCTTATTTCTGCCCCAGCATTCTGTGAACCTCAAATCCGTACAAATATTTTTAAAAGTCTCATTTGAAATAGAACATTAGCTTTGTAATATAAACATCCCAGAATAGATAGATGACTCTGTGTTATTGCAAGTATATACATTTCTATGTGGCTTGAAAGTGTGTTAAAACAAAGCCAAATGTTAAATATTTCTATATAAATATTAGTGAACATATCATCTAGGGGAAGTGGTTGTATTTCCTTCTGAAATAAAACCCTATAAATCTCTATTCACCTTTAGTTGTGCGATTTATTTATTTTATTTTACTTTTTTTGAGATGGAGTCTCACTCTATCACCAGGCTGGGGTGCAGTGGCATGATCTTGGTTCACTGCAACCTCCGCCTCATGGGTTCAAGCGATTCTCCTGCCTCAGCCTCCCAAGTAGCTGGGACTACAGGTATGCACCACTGAGCACAGCTAATTTTTGTATTTTTAGTAGAGACAGGGTTTCACCATGTTGGCCAGGATGATCTTGATCTCTTGACCTCGTGATCCGCCTACCTCAGCCTCCCAATAGTTGTGCTTTTTGTAGAAGCCACAGTGGGTTGGTTGTTGGGGTTTGCTTGGTGAGTTGCATGAGCCCATCGTGTTTCCCTCCTTCTTTCCTCTTTATAAAGTTTAATATTAGGCAACTGAATAGTATCTAACACAAGCCCTTAACATATGTGCTTGATTCTAAATGATACCATTTAAGCAGAATTGTTAGTGTGTTTTTTTACTAGAATCAAGGCAGGCTGTAAAGTTTCATCTCTATTTTTTGTACTCATAATCATGGAAAATGGTATTTATTCTTCAGAGCATCATTCTACACTGTATTAATGAAATCTTCACTCACCACCAGAAAAACATTAACCTATTTTCTCTAGACATCAGAAAAATAGTACCGATTCAACAAATGAGGTAACTGAGTGTTTTATACTCTAGTGAAGCTTACAATACTTTTCGAAATGGTTGAAATGAAAGAAGCCTTCTGATTACCTAGGTAATCTGAAAATGTTATTACCCTAATCCTCCATTTTTTTAGTCCTTGAATTAATGTTTTACTGAAATGCATCATTTATTAATGTATAGATGTCAAATGATATATGGATCATGTTTTCAAGGCTTTGCAAATCATAAGTTGGACTTGCAGTCAGCTGAGAATATACTTGCTTTTCTGGCAGTAGTGATGGATTTGTTCCGTTCTGATCCATCCTGATCTTTTGTGATTGGCTTCCCTCCCTCTTTCTCTCTCTTCTTTTTTTTTTTTTTTTTGGCAAATATTTAACTTTCCCTTTCTCTTACTTGTCTTTGAGAGTTTCAGTAACCCTGGGGGAAAGAGAAAACAGTGCCAACCAATTATGTTACCAAACTTTGAAAGGTCAGTGATGTACAGGCTATCTGAGGGAGAGCATAAAACCCATTAGCAGCCTGATATCTCATTTGGTGGCTAACAATCCGAGAGGAATACCAAATGGCCTCCCCCAACATTAATCCCCTAGAAGTAAAGGATCTTAACAAGAAAGAAATAACGTTATCAATTTCTTCCATTCTCATTAAACTCCAAAGGCTGTAATCTAGAGGCGTTTTTGGTTTTCACGCACAGCCAGTGTGAAAGAATTGCAGCATACAAAAAGGAACATGGTAGAAAAATTAAATTAAAATAGAGCATTGGCATGGCTTATTCATGCAAATATATGTGTAATTTCCAATTTGTAAAAGCTCAACATCCTAAACACTACTCTAACTTATCTTCCCATTACATGTCACTAGTGTCCCACAGGAAATCCACAGGGAGAATGGCAACAATTCTACTCTCAAAACACTTTCCACCTTTCTACTTCTCCTTTCTATTTTTCTCTGACTTTCTCTTTTCTGCTTTGGTGCCCTTCCTAGTTCTGTCTACATATATGAAAGCCTACTTACTTTTCAAGACCTACTTGAAGTCTTAAACCTTATATGGCAGTAACCCATAGCCACCTTCCCTTCATGAGGCCATATTGCTTCTCCGTATTACTGGCCACACTGCTTATTTGGCACTAAGTATACAGGCAACACATTTAAGACAAATATCCATAAATGTCCCATGGTCCCAACACATACTCATTTATTCACTCATTGTCCCATTGATTGATTGATGAAACATTCCTAGAGTATATATTTTATACCACATAATGTAGAAGATGCCAAAGACACATGAATGAATAAAATCCTATTGATAATTGAGTAGGAGATGGGAATGAGTACAGTCAGACAGGTGCTATGATAGAAATGTAAGCAGGTCACATTGCATCCACAAAGGAGGAGTGGTCAGTATTACTGAGAAGAAGAGAGGCCTGAGGGGAGAGCTACAGTGAACCAAAGAAGATGATTATTTAGTGATACAGAACAGAGAGAGGTGGAGAGGAAAGTTGGTGATGTAAGGAAGAGTCATTGCAGAAAGAGGGGTCGACATAAATAAAGATTACAATGTGAATGTGGGGATATAGAAGGACAAGAAGTTTTGAGTAGAAAAAAACCATAGATTGTGAAATGAAACAGGAATCAGATGAACAAGAATAGGGTTGGAGAGATCATAGGAGGCTTTTTGCATCAGGGAGAGAAGATTGGAGTTAATCTGTGGGCAATGGAGGCCATTGTGGTTTTCTGTGTGCTGGAGAAACGTGGTTAGATTTGTGTTTTCTATGATTAATTAGGCAATGGTGTGTAGGCTAGATGGTGATGAGACATGAAAAAAGAAAGAAAGAAAGAATCTTGTAATGGTCCAAGTGAAAGATAGTTAGAATATGCATTAATGAGGATGCAGATACAGGTAGAACTATGACAAATTATGAGAAAATAAAATCTATAGGACTTTTGACTTCTTGAAGACACATACTACACCTTATTCTATGTATGCTGCGCAGCCCTAAGCATTTATTAAGGGGTGTTGTTAATATTTGCTAAATAAAATTGAGCTTTATACTGGTGTAAGAAAAGCCTTCAAAAGGATTGCATAATTTTACATGTTCCCCATTAAGTTAAAGCAGATTTTGATCTACAACTGAGATTATAAATCTTATGCAATTTTGCTTAGAAATAAAAAAAACTAGAGAATGTTCATGTGGAAGACTATTTCAGGACTCAGACTGCTTTGCTGTTAAAGTTTCATAACTGAAATGTATTCCAAGTTCTGGATTGACATATGACAGAGCTATTTTATATTAAATGTGTTGGTATAAGGTTGGTATTTGATTCAAAAAGAATCTTAAACCAATAGGGTTGTATCAGCTATTCCTGAAATTGTAGACTAATAATATTTTTATTTTTCCTGGACTAGGTGACTAAGAGTAAAAAAAAACATGCTTCTACTCTGTATTGAATGAGAATAGAAGTCTCAGGATAATGGACAGATTGATCTTCCCACTCAGGGAACAATTCCTTAATATTGGTAGAATAAAAAAGGTCAGAAGCCATTATGACTTCTTCCCATTGCCCCCAAATTAAAGGTGATTATTACAATGATTGTGGTACTAACTGATTAGTAGTACTAACTAGGTATCAAAATGTACCTTGATATTCCTTTTAGAAGAGCAAATAGACTTGAGGTAAGCATATAACAAAGTCATTGCATGTGTTGTTTTGAAATTCATAATAAAAAATATTTTTAATGTCTTTTACAAATTCATAATGGGTCTTCTGTTTCATCTGGTACTAAGGCCTTGTCACTGAACTTGTAACCTCAAGCAATGATAGAGCAGTGAGGTAGATTTCAGAAATGGCTCCATCATTGCAATGTTTTTCGCAATGTGACTTAACAGTTCCTGTCATTAAAAAGTAGAGTCTGTTTGCCCACCCCTACACATTGGCTTGGTTTTATGACTTATTTGGTCAATAGATTATAGGCGAAATAATATGCCAATTCTAAACCTGGGTCTCAAAAGGCCTGTTGGGCTTTTGTTCCCTCTTTGACCTGAGCCTTTGCATGAGACCAAGCCCAGGCTATCCTGCTGATGATTAGAGTACTGTACATTTGGAGCAGAGACAAATGATTGCTGGTAAAGCCATCCTGGACCAGTAAGGCACCAGCTGACATGCCAGCTGACCACAGACTCATGAACAATTCAGACAGGTTTGGCCCAGAACCGTAGAATTAGCCAGCCAGCCAGCCAGCCATGCTCACTTGTGAGCATAACAAAAAACACTTTATGGTTGTGTGCCACTGAGGTTTTGTGGTTATGTGTTGCACAGTATTGTGATGGTGAGATATAACTCATACAGCCAGGTGGTAAGTGTAGGACAGAGATGAGAACAAGCCATTCATGAGTAAGGTGCCAAGATTTGTATAAAAATCCTGTTAAGTAGGTAGCAACAGTAAGTCAATCCCAAAGACAGTGGTGTCTGGTTCATTGACTCGGTCAATGAGTTTCAGATGGAGCCAATAAAGCAAGTCATAACTTCTCCCTGTAGAAAAGTTGTCCTGGCAGAGTCTGAACCCATATTGAAGTCGATTTAAGTCCAAAACAACTCATTTAGGCATCAGTTAGAGTTTTAATTTTATCATTTACTGGCTGTTACAATTGCAGCTAATATTTGTCAAGATTTTCTTTGTGCTAAGATAATCTTATTTAACATTCACAGAAAAATCCTATACCATGTAGTTAGTAATTGGAAAATTTAGGACACAAACTCAGGTCTCTGCCTCTTGGCCGCCCTTTCATTAAAGTCTCTATAAGCTTCATTTTACTCATGTATAAAATGGGGATGATCATACTTACTTTCAAGGGTTGGATCAAAGATTAGATAAGATAATGCATGAGGACATTCAGTCATTAATCCATTATAAGTTTAATTATGATTTCATCCTCAGACTTCCAGGTGTACTTGGCCAGCTGCATTCTTTCTCTGGAAACTTTGCAGCTGACTTAATTCTCATGGAGTCTGGAAACTATTCTTTTTATTAAAAAAGAGCTTTTGGTTATCTTTTTATTTGCAGGGACAGCATCTTCCAACCTGACCTGGAATCTGGCAGACTTGTCAGTGGTGATTCTTCCTCTTTCCAATACGTCCCTTAGAAAGGCCTGACACTGAGACACTGATTCTGTAAAAGAAAGATTAGTAATCTCCTTTGGTGAAGGAACTTGCCAAGTTTTAAAAAGAAGTGCTAAGGAAAAATTAACACATGATGAAATGTGAAGCCTGTTACGTTGATAACAAGTTTTCTTCTGCATATACCAGAACGTATTCCTACAGGCATCTTTTACTGTAAGTCTCTTCTGATTGGAAAACTAATCTGTATATTCTTTTGGGATACATTCAATTTGTCAGAAGACAAAATTACAACAAGTTAAGTTTAAAGATCTTAATTGGCTTTAATTTGCAATTCTAGAAGTGGGCAACACCCCATTCTCCAAAATAGAATGAATGTCCCGATGAGTGGAGCAGAGGAGGTTAGTTTTATAGACAGAAAAGGGCTGAGGAAACCAGAAACAGAACAAAAAACAGATTGGTCATTTCAGTTACTTTTTGTGTAAAGGTTAAAGCAGAGGGGAGTGCCTTATCTTGCTGGCTTAAACTGGCCTGTTTGGGGATTTGGCTATTTCCTTCTCTCTCCTGATTTCTTGGAAGGTCAGATAAATAGCTTAGTTTTGGCTTGGTGGCATGCAACTTCAGCATGAGGAATTCGATTTTCATTTGGTCTATTGGGTCCAGTGTGGGAGAAGTCCAAACCAATGACCTTGTAAGTTTTATTAAATTTCACAAGATGAGGCGAGGAATATTCAGAGTTTAAACCAGCAGAATGATATATGTGAATACAATATTAGCGTGGAAGAGGCATGAGTGGTCATTGGATGTGTACGTGAAGGGAGCCTCATTGGGTGATTTTTCAAACACTGCTTGAATGCTGCAGTGACTGAAGACTCATCACTTCACAAAGAAGGCTATTCAATTGGTAAATAACTCAAGAATCAAAATCTCTCTTTCTATAACCTTTCCTCACTCACCTCTAGGTTTCTGCTTTGAGAAATGTCTCTCTATTCTATTTTTCTGATTCTTTAGAATGGATACTCGTGGGTAATTTAAGCCCTCTCCCATTTGTTTGTAACTGGTTACTCATTTAGTTCCCAAGAGGGGTGATGTTGATTTATTATGAGATATTACCCATTGGTTATAATCAGTATGACTGGGGCTAGACACCTGATCCTAGAAGGGCTATAAGAGTCTCTTTGAAATTGGGATCTTGTTAAAAAATTTATTTTAGTAAATTTCATGAGAGTTTTAAAAATTCAATGTTTGAATCTCAGGATTTTTACATACCACAAACATCTAGAATCTTAGCTGCTCTTGAAAGATGAGATGATCTGACAATACTGGGCAAGCATTTCCACATCTTAACAATTGGCTGTAGCTGAGTATGTGCTGAGCCCCCAACCCATATCTGTTTTTCTGGTTATCATCTTCTCGTTCAGCATCTTGGGAATTCAAGTTTGTGTCACTCTCCTGCTATGAGTGCATTTCTGTACTTGCAACTATGAGGAGAGCCTTAAACAAACTTTATGTAATTCTCTGGTTTGTAAGCCCTGGCTGAATATTAGAATCATTTGTAAGCCTTCAAAAATAGATTCTTGGAGTAGTCCTCATAATTATCAAATGAGAACCTCTGAATATCATTTTCATTGGTCATCTTTGGTGTCTGGAACATTTTCATCTTAGTAAACAAGAAAATACAAAACACAAACATCTTCTCCAAATACAAATGAACGTAGTTAAAAACCACTCATAGAATTGAAGATGGGAAACAGAGAAGATATATCCTTTAGTTCAGATGCACAAAATTCCCATTTCCTTGTGATGCACAAAATTCATGCAAGTAGGCCAGTTTTCTCCAACCTAAGCATTTCTGGCTGCTACCTGGAAGTGTTTTAAGATGCTTTTAGGTAAGAGCTGCCAAAGGCTGGATGCTGCTACTTGGCCTTGATAGTCCTTGCTTGTTCTTAAGCAGAGCAGTTGGAAGGGAGAGGAATTAGCTGATGAGTGAGATGCTGCAGGTGGCCACAAATCCTAAGTTGCCTTCTCCTGGGATTCACCAGAGGAGAAGTGATAATGAGAGATTTTAGCACACATTCTAGGATTAGCTGGTAGCTGGTATTATAATGGTTTAACTCACTCTAGCTGAGCATTAGGCCCAGACTACAAGCCACCTTTTTACTGAGCTGCCTCTTTCTGACTTAAGGGTTATACTTTCAAAGACAGTAATTAAATTCTTCTCACAAAGCCAGCTTTAAGCACTCTTCTAATTCTACTAATTAAAAAGTGCCCAGCTGCCAGTGTCAGTAGTAAATCATTTCTGATCCTATGTGTCTCATGTACTATGGTCTGAGAAACTTCTGCTCATCCCCTGAAACCTTCTGTCTCTTTAAGTAGTGCTTATTTTCTTAGCATTTGCACTACTGTTTCACATCCTCCTTCCCCAGACTCATCGAGTTGCTTGGATTGCTGGCCCTACAATTTGTTCAGTATTTCATTCAATTTGTTCAGTATTTCATTCAATTTGAACTCCGTCCTCAGCTCTGCTGGAGATTTTAAAAACAATCCAGATACAAACATTATCCTCATGATAATCTAGAATACATATTAAATGCTTTCTATGTGTCAGGCACTGTTCTCAGTTAATTCTTACGAAGAGTCTGTGATGTAGGTGTAATTATAGATGAAGTAGCCGAGGCACAGAGAGGTTGTAAGGTCTAAAACCTTTCTATGGTTTTCCATTGCCCTTAAGTTAATGGCCTATATTCTTAACAGGGCGACTCAG
The DNA here is from genome assembly GCF_000001405.40 of Homo sapiens. Taxonomy (NCBI): domain Eukaryota; kingdom Metazoa; phylum Chordata; class Mammalia; order Primates; family Hominidae; genus Homo; species Homo sapiens. The sequence goes on from NC_000011.10 coordinate 37,041,863, forward strand.
ACCTTCCCAATGACCTCTTCATTCTCTTCTAGTCTTTCATGTATCACTCATGCTCCCTATTAGGGACATGATTTTATTTTTCTGTCTTTCCTTTGGGTCACGTAGTTTTCATCGGACCAAAACCGCTAGCTTTTTTCCCACATCCCTTCTAGCTTAGCTAAATCACACTCCCTATTTAAGTCTCAAATTAAAATTAAAATTACCTTCCTCAGAGAGAAAAATCTTGATTCCCATGTTAGTGTTGCTTTTCGGGTTCCCTGTATGAGTATTATTTGGGAGTATGTATTACAAGTTGAATTTCAGAGCTTTTCTCATGTTGAACTAGGAAGTAGGGGCCAGGTGTCTACATTTTGATTGAACATCTCTGGTGATTCTTATGAGCTATAAAGTTGGAGAATCATGTCCATAGACTAAGTTAATTTCCTTTACACCTGTCGCCATAGTACCCTAGCCATCTCCTTTCAAATAACCACCACATTCTGGATAAAAATATTTATTATTTATTTTCCCCATTAGATTAGACACTCCATGAGGTTAAGGGACATGTATCTGTTTCGTTCATTTCTTTATCTATAGCATCTAGCCCATTGCCTGGCCTATAATTTTGTTTAATGAAGTAGATTTTTTTTCTTCTTTCAATAAATGTTATGATGCACCTACTTACCTTTTTTTTAGACACATAGTCCTTGGAATTCAAGGTTTAGTAATACACGATTTATTGGCTCAAATAACTTACAACAGCATAGGGAAAACAGGCAAGCAAATACAAGATTTTAGTATAGTATGATAAGAAAGTAGATCTATCTATCATTTGCAAATACAATCACAGTGGTAAGGGTTCTGTGTTTACAGAAAAGAGAAGACAAAATCCAACCCATAAGGATGACATCTGAGAGGGCTTCCTGGAGAAGGTGACACACAAGTTTAGTCTTTAAAAAGTAGGCACCAGAGAAGGAGATGTAGAGAGGGTATTTTAAGCAGAGAAATGAGCACAGTATGTACTTGGATACCCGAGAATACTTAGGAATAGCTTCACACAGGGTGTAAGTTAGAGAATGTAAGAACCAGATAATCAAACTCTAAGCACTATTAACTTTATTGTGAAAACCACTGGGAAAAGTTAAGCTTGATTATCTGCAGGAATGGCCAATATTCAGGTTGCAGATTGTCCATAATGAATTTTTAACTTTATTACTGCCTGTTGTTTGTGAAGGGGGAGACCCCTCCAACTTCAGTTTACTTATCTATGTAATGGGGTAAATCCTACTCATTCCAACATACTTGACTTGTTGCAAGCATCAAATAAGATAATACATATAAAAGTATTTTTTAATACTTGTCTGGCTTTTTTGAAGGGAAGTGAGGGATAGAAAGGAAGGTAATAATTGTTGAACTTTGATTAAATTAAGCATAGGGGAAAATTGACTGAAAACTTCAGAAAGGCCTGAAGCCACGTTGGTTCTATGACCGTGGTAGTATGTGGGCCTTCTTTCTAAATTGTTTCCATTAAAACAGCTCAATTGCAAATACCTAGCAGTCTTTGTGACACTTTCTTCTAAATTCTAAATTCAGGGGGGCCAGAGTCTTATTAGTCCGACTTGAATCTGAATCCATCTTAGACCAATTTGCCATGGCCAGAATCGCAGGGTGAAAGTTCAGCATGGCTGCTAGGAGCTAACATCTTTAAATAGAGGAGATAAATTTAAACCAGTCACAATCCCAAGGGTATCCACTATAGCAGAAAGCAGGAAGCAAAGATTATTACAGAGGCTTCAGAAAGGAAGCCAAGAGAGGAAGACCATTGCTTCCATCAATAATCATATCTGATGCTGAGAGATCCTTCAATGTTTTTGGCTTGCCAGTTGAGATTTTTAACATGCAAGCTACAGAATTTAACGGTCAGCATATAGATGCATTTTTAATCAAATCTCTCTTTATAAACTTATATTGATATTGCTTGACAGGGATGAGATAAAAAGAGGAAGTACAGAAGTTGCCTGCTCAGCATAACGGATTATATCAAATATGCTAAGAAGAATAACTAGGAGAGGGGAGTTAATCAATCATCACAGTACAAAATCATGATGGTTTTTCGATATGGGTTTGGAATATCTTTTGAGATTGCAGTTTTCTGGAGGTCTTTAAAAATAACCTAGATACTTACATGAAAATATCCCACTATTAAGAAGGGAAATGCACTCATGGGATGGTATGATCGTGAACCTTGCAAGTTCTGGAATCAGCCAGGCCTAAGTTCAAGTTCTGTTTCTTTAATGTGTACAATGTATGACTTTTGTCCACTGTCTTACCACTGCAAAACTCATTGTTATCTGTGAAGTCAGATTGACAATACTGTGTAGTAGGCTTGTGAGGATTAAATGAAATGACATAATTGGAATCATTAGCACAACACCAGGCATGTAGAAAAGGCTTAATAAGTTGTAGCCATTATTGCTGTTGTTGTTAATATTATTATTATTACTATGATCATTATCTTTAAATTATTTCCTAATTCTGTGGTTTTAAAGGTACATAATGAATCCTTTAGAAGAAGTCAAAATTCACTGTAGTTGCTTTTAGGCAAAGGTGGGGTAAAAAAAAAAAAGAGAAATGAAAAAGGTGGTTTTCCTACTTCAAAAAATAGAGAACAAAATGATTTTAAAGTTTTTATTAACCTAATAAATCACCCAGTCCAGCTACTTCATTTAATAAATGAAGAAATTGAGGCACAGATTATTAAGTGGCTTATCCAAGTGCTCATAGATATTTATAGCAGAGCTCAGATAAGAATTGTGGGGGCCCGAGATGTACTGCCTTCATCCCACTTCAATGAAGGGTGTATTTTCCCAGCTGCCGAGAGTACAATCTGTTGAGAGCCCCCAGTTTTCAGCTCCTTTAGGGTTCACCTCAGCTTTAGAGATTCCCCTTATCCAAAAGCATGTCTTTCCCAGGATGATCATATCAATGAGTGGAAGGAGATAAACTGCAGCGGGATAGAGGCCAGCTGTTATCTGGCCCCTGTGAGTTGACACTGATGAACCATATACCTCCAGAATTCCCTGAGGAGCCAGAAAGGCTTAGTTGGCTCTGTACTTCATTTTCTCCCTCTGTCCAATCCTATCTCCTCTCTTTCTTCTTCCATTCTCACAGGCATTGATCCCTAGTAAATATTCTGCACAACAAACTTTCTAAGCATCCGATTCTACATCATGGCTTACTGTAGCCTCAAACTCCTGGCTCAAGGGATCCTCCCCCCACAGCCTTCCAAGGAGCTTATAGGTGTAAGCCACTGTGCCTGGCTGCAACATCTGATTCTAGAGACTCCAATCTTTGGCAAGGATCTAAGTTCTAATATTGTTACTGTTTTTAAAACAAAATAAAGCAAATTTAAAACCAGTAATTTTGCAACTTCAAAATGTCATTCCAAATCTGTATGAGGAACAGACAGCAATCAAGGAGTTTAAGTATATAATTGTGTGAGTTACAGTTGCTGAAGAATAGAGAAGGAAACCGGGTAGAAACAAGGTTTGAGGTCATCTATATTGGCTAGCAAGCAGCCTATGCACTTCTTTTGCTCATCGTCCAGATTGATTTGTTGTTACTTGCCATAAGTTAGAATTTTTCTCACTCACAGAATCCATAAGTTACTTGACATTTCTTTTTGCACGCCTCTTGAACTGCTCCTTGTCACTTTCCCATGTTCTCCACCTCCCTCAGCTTCAGAGTAGTTTTAGAATTTCTGAATCAAAAGTGCCTAGGGCTAGCACTCTGGCAGAAAGGAAGGGGAAAATTTTCATCGGTTTTATAATTTGTGGAGGAAAAGAGTTACAGATTATGGTGAAAACGAAAGCCCCCTATCCCTTAAATCTTGGTGTCTATCTTCTTTTTATTTCTTATTTCTACTGTTCTCACATTTGTTAGGGATAAAACCAACAAAGCAGTCACGTGTGATTATCTCTGACAGTGCATATGAGAAACATGGGTTAGAAGTCACTGAAGGGAATCTGATGCAAATCAGTGACTTCACGTTGTCAATCAGATACACCTTCTAGCTTCCTACTGTATCATTTTATCACTCAGCTTTTATGCTAATAGTCAGAAGATTACTTTTGGGCTTTGCATCTGTGTTGGAGAGAAACATGGAGGTTGGGGGTTAGGCAAAAGTCATGTGGTAGCTGAGTCTGCTCCGACTGACCAGAATAATAATACTCTAAGCCAGAAGCTCTACTAATAGGCTTCTTTGACCTTCTTATTGGCTAGACTTGGGCTATGGCCATCCCTAATTGCAAGGAGTTTGGGGTATGAGTATTTTTAAGTGAACACACCACCACTCTGAACAAAATGGAATACTTTAGTAATCAAGAAGGAGAAAATAAATGTTGAGCAGGCAAATAACAATGTCTGACATGAAATATATATATATAAATTATATAATTTGTATGTTTTAAATTTTATACAGATTATATTACTCTGACTGTTATCTTTTGAAACAGGCTTTTTCATGCAACCTAATGTTTTTGAAATTTGTCTCTGTTTATTCATGGAAATGTGGCTCATTGTCATTGTTGATATTATTCATAAATAAATGAATCTAACTGTATACGGTCCTTTCTTCACTTTGTTCACAGTTACAAACAGCTCTATAATTATTGTTTCTGAATGTGTCTCCTACTGAAAATGTGTAAATGTTTATTTAGGGTAAATTTCTAGACATGGAGTTGTGGATCACAGATTATATTCTTCAAGTTGAGTGGATATTTCCAAATTACTTTCCACATTATAGTCCCATCAGAAATGAATGAGTTCTTGCTTTCCAGCATTTTTGCCAACAGGCATTAATTTTTGTTACTGTATTGGATGTGGAGTAGTATCATTATGGTTTTATTATTTATTATTTTGAATTTTACTGTTTATTAGTCAGGTGAAACACCTTTTTATACTTTGGTGATTTTAACTTTCCTGTTTAGTTACTAAAAAGGAAAATATATTTTATCTATCTTTCTATTATTTTTATTTTATATAGACATTAATATTTTTATTCATCCTTCTATTTTTATTTTAAGTGGATTTTAAGAATTTTTAATGTATTCTAGAGACTATTTGCTTATGATTATTAGCACTGCAGATATCTTCCCTCCTTCTGCTTGAGTTTTAACGTTTTGATAATGTTTTATACAGATATTTTTTAATTCAAAAGTAGTCAAATTTATCAAGTATTTTTCTTATGAATTTTTGTATTTTTTAAAGAGATTTTCTTCTACTGTAGGTCTAAATTTTCTTCTAAAAGTGTAAATTGCCTTGAAGTTGCTTTTAAAATTTAAGTTTTTAATTGATGTGGAATTCATTTGTGTATGTGGCATGAGGTAGGGAGTATATACGTTATGAATAATCACTTGTTCCAGCATCATCTATCATATATATTTCCTCTTCTGTTCCATTGTTCTTTTTGTATATTCCTGGCCCAACAGCATGCTAACATAATTACTATAGCTCTGTAATATCTTCTGATGGCTAAGAAGACAAGCTACCTGCATCAATCATTGGAACTGTTTTCATATTGATTTTTAGGAGTGTTTTGATTGCAATCATTTATTTTTTTTGTAGTAATTTTAGAATCCCTTCATCATCTCCAGGAGAAATTGTGCAGGCATTTTGATTTTAATTGCTTTGAATTTGTCAAGAATTAATACATCTTCTTGAAATTGCTTTTTCCAGTCTAAAATATGTAGCATATCTCTCTAGTTATTTAGGTGTTATTTTATGCTTTTTAATAAAGCAAATATATATATATATATATTTGCAAAGGGCTTACATATCTTTTGTTAGATGCTAGATATTTTATAGTTTTCATTACTACTTTGAGTGGCATTTTAAAGTTATACATTTCTAATTGTTGATTTATAGAAATGCTGTTGATTTTGTACACTAAATCTATATTCAGCAATCCTACTGACTTATCTCACTAGTTTAATAACTTGTGTATTTGAATTTTCTATGTAGAAAATGTGACCCAAGATAAGTTATAGTTTTGTTTCTTCCTTTCCAAATATTTATTTTCCTTATTTTTTTGGGTCATGCTGTATTTGCCAATACCTCAAGTACAATGCTAACTAGAAGCACTGATAATGGACATTGCTTTATTGCTCCTGATACAAATGCGAAGACTTCTAAAGATGTCATTAGTTTCTTTCAAGGGTGTTTTGCTGTGCTTGTGGACTACAGGTTTTACTATCCTTTCTTTTGAACCCAACCACCCAGGGTGAAGTTAGAGGCATATTAAATACCAAGCCTCCTAGATTGCTTTGAACCCCTTCTCTGTACATCAGGACAGGGCATCTTTTTCTCAGGCCTGAATTTACAACTTCAGGATTTCTTTCTAACAGCAGTCTGGAGAAGACTATATAAATCAGATGGATAGATACACACATGATATATTACTAAATACCAGCTCCACAAGAGTCAGTGGAAGAGCAGCACTGGGCAATCTTTTAGCAACCACAACATATACATAGTTACTCTTCATGGTGTCATTCATTGCTTTCAGCGCAATGATGCTGCAATTGGGACCAATCATATCTTCCCTGGAGGCTTGGGGTGAAGTTAGCTCCACAAAGATTGAAAAGGAGAGAGATGTGGTTTCCTCAAAGAAAACTCAGAGAGGTATTCCTGAACAAAGGTAAATAGGTAGATACAAGGACTTCCACTTCAGATGCGGCATTTTCCATCACCTTTGCCTCCTTCCTGACATGCACTGTGTTAAGATTACCATGTTGCTTCTATCAGGAAACTACACTCTGGATTTTCATCGCTGGCAATATAAAATGACATTTTAGATCTCTATTGTCTTATATATTCTAGAATTGTAATACTACAAACATAAAACCCTTTTTAACTGATTTTTTCTTGACTTTATGCACATTTTTCAAGATAGAAGACAGCAAATATTTGATTTTTATTTCGTACTCCTTCCTCATTTTTTAAAACCTAATAACAATGGAATAATACTTTCAGGATCTACTTTGTACCTAATCTAAATTCATGCCTAATAAAAGCAGAAGGATTAAATTCAAAGTCAGCTTTAGATTATTTGAAATAAAACACTTTCTGATAAAGTTTCTAATTTCTTTGTTAATGCTACCGATTGTATTGTATCTTTATCAATTCCAGGGAATTATATCATAGACTTTGGTTTATGGAAAGTCAAATATCCAGAACTTTTAATTACTAAATTCTACTAATAACAAAATAAAAATAAGAAAATAAACCGATATAAGAAATTTGGTTTACAAAATATTCCTAGGGGAAAGCCTTATATAAAACAGAAAAAGATGAATATTCTATGTTTTCTATGTCCAACATTACATTTCTAGATCACAAAATTAAAGTTGATATGAGTTATCCCTACCCAAGGGTTACAGTTGGTAGCTAGTCAGCCATGAGCAGGGCAGGAGAGGGCTCCCCCTGCCCTCAACAAGGAATGTCAGGCAACCATCAGGTGTTAGTCAGGTGGTTCTTAAGTGTTCCTCTAAAATAATAATTGGTCGCAGCCAGCTCCAGGGAAGGGGGATCTTCCACTAGATAAAAATAAACTTGAAAGTGGTGATGAGCAGCTTCCCAATGAGATTTCAGGAGTTGGGCGAGTGGTCTCAAGCATGCACACTAAGAGGCAAAATGGCAGCAGATCTTCCTCTAGGAACACTCCTAGAGGAAGGGAAAAATGGAAAAATTCCTCAAGTGGGCATGCATATAACTCCAGTAAACACTCTGTGCATGCTCCCCTCCCAATTGCTAGCAGGCCACTGTGCATGCAGACTGCCCACCCCAAGGGAAAGATCAGGGGAAAAGGAACACAAGACCGCAGAAGTATGCCAACATATAAAAACCCCAAGTCAAAAGATCAAACTATGCATTTGATCTCTCAAGTGGCCTGCTTGGCTTTCCCCTCTTCCAAGTGTACTTTGCTTCTTTCATTCTGGCTCTAAAGCTTTTTAATAAACTTTCACTCCTGCTCTGAAACTTACCTTCTTCTCTCCTTCTGCCTATGCCCCTCAGTAGAATTCTTTCTTTTGATGAGGCAATAATTGAAGTTACTGCAGACCCATATGGATTCATTGCTGGTAATATACTTTGGTGCTATGTGACTGAGATACATCATTCTGCTGCTAACACAAAAACATCCAAGGATAATTAGGCGTATTACTGTTACCATTATGAAATCAGCAGCAGCAGCAGCATTGTTTTATCCTTTTAATAAGGCTGTGAAGTAAGCTATTTTTAATTTTTTTGCAGTGTTTCTTGTAAAAAATATGAAACATGTTAGTCAAGCATTTTTATTTTAGCCATGGAATTTAATTTGCTAATACCCATGCCCTCCTACATACCAGTTTTACTGTATTCTGAGGATCATGCTTGTAATACAGTGAGTGAAAACAAACCAAGAGTGCAGTTTCCAGTGTGCTTTTCTCACTGACATTTAAATGTGTGGCTCAGGTGGCCCAGTGATTACTTTCCTCTCACAGAGATTTTTATAGCCTTATAAATTCAGAACCATTATTTTGGAGGAAAATGAAGTATTAGTATTTTTAAAAGCTAATTTTCTATCTTTTTCAATGGTAATGTGTCCAACTTCTTTACCATACCATCTGAAACCTCTGTCAGAAGGCTTGTTTTAATTGCTTTCTCATTTAAATCTTAATCCTTGGGATTTGATCTGTGCCTTTGAGCACAGCAAGGTCTTTTATTTTATTAGAAAAAAAAAGTTGGGATTAAAGCAGTGCTTTGGGTAAGTTTGTATAAAATCTCCACCAGTGAATTTAAATATTTGAAGACCTTTTGTTCATCTGATTGAACACTTCTCAAAGATAGAATATTTTAAATCTTCCTTTAAGTCACATTTATTAATCAAAGTCTATCAAATGGAATATTATGGCCCCAAAGCCATAGCTATCTTCATTAGGCAAATCTAAAGTTTTGATTTAACCAAAGGGAATATCTAATAAGCAACTTTCTATATTTAAAAAGTTTTCTTTCCTCCAATGAATAATTGATGCTATTTTTTTCTATCTAAATTCTGACATTTCTCATTACCATATTAAATCAAATTATGCTACAAGTTCCAAAGTGTTCAGGTAGTATACACACTATCATGGTATAAAGCTAGATTTTTGTTTTCTGCTATTCAACCTAAATTGTATGAAGCAATCAGGGCTTGCTCACTTAGATTCTCTCTAGTCTGTTTTTTTAGGTCCCCATTTCCAACCATCCATAGAAACTTCAAATAGGGGAGTTCTTTACAGAGATGCAAACCAAGAAGTGAAATGGATGTTTCATACATTGGCTGAATAGCAGACAAAGATAAAATGAGACCTCAAACTTCGAATTCCTTGTCAAAGACTCCGTACATGCCAGCATGGAAAGGAAAGGCAAATTTGGGTTGTAGGGTTGCTGACTCATGCATGTCAAATCAGGGAACCATCTGGACTGCACAATTCTCTTCAGTAGAAACACCATTGTTAAGTTTTTTAAAATTTCCACATGCTTATGATAAAGTTCATCTGGAAGACATTTTATGGCCAAATAATTTTTCCTTCTGAGATCTTCAAATTTCTTAACAAATTGCAATGAGAAGGCTGTGATGAGAAAAGGAAGCACCTTTTTTCATCATGGATTCCTAAAGAGGCTTGAAATGGCACCTTTTACATGTATTATCTGAGTTGATCCTCATATAATTATATAACAAAGATCATAGTATTATCCCAGTTTTACCACTGAAGTCAAGAAAGTAGAGAAAGAGTAATTTGCACAAAATTACATAATTTAATGTCAGACTCTTGGATAAATGATGCAAAGAATCTGTATGTAGATAGGTGACACATTGTCCACATAATCCCTTGAATATAACCAAGTCTGTCCAGCTGAAGAATCAGGGTGGCTTCAAAGACATTCATATTAGATAGAACAGTCTAAGTGAGTTATAAAAGTGAAAGTGGGAAAACACTAGGTATAATTTGAAAAGTAGTCCTATCCTAGTATAACCCAGAGAAAATCCATAAATCATCTATAATTATTCTAAACCAGATATTATGGTGTCGCTATAGTTTTTATGTTTGTCCCATCACAACCTCATGGTAAAATGTGATCTCCAGTGTTGGAGGTGGGCCTAATGGGAGCTGTTTTGGTCATGAGGTAGGATCACTCATGAATAGATAAATGGCCGCCCTTGGCGGTAAGTTCTTGCTCTGTTAGTTCCCAAGAGAGCTGGTTGTTAAAAAGAGCCTGGCACCTTCCCCACTCTCTCTCATTTCCTCTCTCACCATGTGATTTCTGCCTGGCAATTTCCTTTTGCCTTTTAGTGAGTAGCCTGGGCCCCATCCCAGAAACCAAGCAGTTGCTGGTGCCATGTTTCTTGTACAATCTGCTGAAGTGTGTGCTATTATATAATGTACACCTTTTTTTCCTTATAAATTACACAGCCTCAGATATTCCTTTATAGCAACAAAAAATGAGCTAAGACAGGTGTGGTGAAAAGTTCATTAAATCCAGAGCCATGAAGAATGGTTCAGGACCTAGTTTTACCACTTATTATTTGGAGTCAAGAAGTTTAATTTTGGTGAGTTCTATTTTTTCCCGAAAGATTTGAAGTAGTTATTTAAAATTCTCTTAGATATTTTTAGTTAAAACGTCCTATGATTGAAAAATGATAGCAATAATTAATGGGGGTACTAGTGAACTAGGAACAAAGTAGAGAGGAGGTATTTGAAAAATTATGAAGGTGGAATAAATATGACATGATCTCTGATTAGATTCATGGGAAAGGTTGAAAGCAACATCAGAAATAATTGCAGTTTAGAAGTTTGGCAAATTAGTGAATGGTGTGGTATTAATAGAAATAGAAGAAACAGTAGGAGGAAAATTAGATGAGAATTACTAGACTTGGGTTTTTAAGATTGGAGATTTTGTCTTTATCTTATTATCTTCAGGTTTTAGCAATGCATAATTCATGCTATGTTCTCATTATGTATTATATTATACAGTTTCTAACCTTAAAGAATATTCTCCTTCTTTGACAGGTTTGCACAGTGTACTGAATGATTAAGGTAGGTGCTTTCTTATTTTCCTGTCAAGAACATTTATATATCTGGCTACAAAAGTGATATAGGATTACTGACAAAGTTAAAACACACAGAGGGATACAAGACAAAAAACAAAATTGCTTACAACTTTACAAGTCAAAATAACTGTGGCTAACATTTTAGTGCATAACTTTAGTGCATTGTTTTTAAAATGACTTTTGTTTTCTTCCATGACCTCTGGGAAGGCCGTTAACTATATATATATATATATATATATATATATATATATATATATATATATATATATATGTATGTGTATGTGTGTGTGTGTGTGTATATATATATATATATATATATATATATATATGTATAAGTATATAGATGCTCTTTAAGACAGGTCCAGCTGGTGCTAACATTGTTTTTATTAGAGGAAAATTGCTGTCAATATTCTCTTTCCAGGATTTTAATTTTAGAAGGATTTCTTTACTTCAGGTACAAGGGAAAGGAAAGAAAGCTGTGAATGCCGAGATATAACTGAACAGCTTCTCGTTTTCTCCATGTTATTTTAGTTACCATTCTCATATATTAGATTTGATAATATATGGCAGTAACATTGCCTCCATTAACTAGAGTTGGTTTCAAGATCCAGTAGAGCTGATGCGGTAATATCTGGTACCTAAATGGACTAGGCAGATTGAACTTGTAAATTACTTTGCACAAAGAGTTTGTGGTAGGCTCCACATTTTGAAAAGCTGAGGAAAGACAAGTAAAAAGTGAAACAGTGAATAATGGAATCACACAGTACTATTACCACTGAATAAGCAATGATGCCCATATGCCACCCAATATATGTGCAGTGATTACACTAGGTCCATATTGAGATCTGGAGACTTAGTATTCTGGTTAATCAGTTAAACAGTGACTTTGATGGGAGATATACCAGAGATTGTCACAGCAGCTTAAGATAATGTAGTGTTTAAGAGCACAGTTCCTAATGTCAGACTGCCTTGAGTTGGAATCTCTACTCTGACATTAAATTATGTAATTTTGTGCAAATTACTCTTTCTCTATTTTCTTGGCTTCATTGGTAAAACTGGGATAATACTGTTATCTTTGTGATGTAGTTATATGAGGATCAACTCACAGAATACATGCAAAAGACCTAGACAGGTCAGTCACATTTACATTTTCAGTAAGTTTTAGCGACTATTTTAATTATTCTGAATTTCATCTCATAAAGAGGAAGTTGAATATCCTTTGAATCAAAGGTCCAAATCCTGCCTCTACTGTTTATCAAATAGAGTATTGACAAAATAACCAAATGGTCTGGCTGTGGCTGCCTCACCTTTTATGTCTTTAAGTGTTAGTATGGGGGATAAAGTGGTATATGTATATAAAAGAGCTTGGTTAACTTAAAACTGTCTGACAGAAATACAGAGTGCCCACTGTTATTTTATTACTAGAAGAATATTTACATAAACATATACAATCATGGAATCTTTTGGTCAGAGGAAAAAGATTCCAAGTTCATCAATCTAACCATCCTTTCAAAACCTGAATCCCCTCTGCAACTTTGCTCCCCTTCTTCAGGTAGTTTTTTGTCTATTAATTGAGCTGGTTCAATAAATATGATTTTGGCACCTACCATGTTCTAGGCAACTTGCTAGTGATTAGGGATACAAAGACAAAATTATGTTTATAATATTTATTATTGCTTTGCCTTCCTTTTTCAGGAAGGATTTAAAGTAACTCCAAAACAAAGGACATGTAATTATTTGCCTTGATTTAATACCTCTGATGATAAGGCAGAGGGAGCCTATTCCATCTTTGAACTTTTCTGATTATTAGGATGTCTTAACAACTTCCTATAACTCCTGTAATTTCTAAGTATTGGTACTATTGTTATCACTTGTAATCATATGGGGCCATACTAAGTGTGAAAAAGCTCTCTCTTACACTTCAGTCCTTGTCTTTAATATTTAAAGCAGCTCTCCTAATGCCCAAGTTCCTTTTCTCTAGGTTAAACAATCTTTGTTTCTTAGATATTTTTCATAAAACATGAAGTCATGTTCTTTTATAGCCTTGCTGGCCATTTTCTAAATTGTTCTCTTGCCTTCTTAGAGTGTCTCAATTCTGTTAAGCCGTCAGCCCCATTTGAATATACCATATAATCTAGCCCACTCCTTGTTTAAACCTTTAAAAATTTATTTTTTTCTGTAGTCCTATATAAACATCTGTTTCTGCAGAACCTTCTCCATTCTGACTTTAAAATGCAGAGTACAACTTAACTATACAGTTCACATAAGTTCTACTTCCTAGTTAACTGTTTATTGTTGATCAGAATTCAGTCCAGAGAAGTTTCCATAGTAGCTTATATCTTGAAATGTTCAACAAGGAAAATTAGGAAATTCAAAGATATCCCAATTTTATTATTATAGCCAACTGCTTTTTATCAACAATGAAGATAAAATAATGTGCCTAAAGTAGATTGTCAAGAGGAGGGCATGCTTTGGATATATCACTTTGAGGATAACCTTAAGAGAGGTTAGTACAATGTTTTCCAATAAAATGTGTCTAAATGCCTCTATTAGCAAAATAACCTAGAGTCATGAAAAGATGTAATATTTAATACAATCAGTGTTCTATATTTATCTCGTTCATAGAAGCTATAAAGATTCCATAGCTGATGGCTATGTAGATTCCAGGTGGTTTAGGTGCAGCTCTCCTTGGATATTTGATTTATTTGTGATAGATTTCTGAGTGTTGTTAAATGACAGTTAAGTGGAATAAAAATAAAAAAAATTCTTCTATTTATCTCTATTTCAATTTTAAAATGTTTAGTTCAATAAAAAATATTTATTTTATGAAGGACTTCTGGTTTTAGTTCCAATCCATTGATTTAAAGAGTCTGGAAATCATTGCTCTCATTATCTTTATGAGAAAAGGCTGGAAAAGTTTAAAATCAACAGCTTTCTTTCACCCATTAGATAACTGAGGTTACAGGTCATACTACCACCTGAAAATCTAAAGAAACAGATGCATCCATAGTCACAGGTGAGATCTGTTTTCCTGGAGCAGAAGCTGATAGAAACACTTAAATGATAATATTGATGAATTGCTGGGGGCTGTGTGTGGACTAGCATGCGAGTATAATACTCTTGGGGGTCATGGTATTGGCAGGGGGCACACTGTCCTAGAATTTACATCAAGGAACCCTACTAGGCTTGATATGTTTTGGCTGTGTCCCCACCCAAATCTCATCTTGAATTGTAGCTCTCATAATTCCCACGTGTTGTGGGAGGGACCCAGTGGGAGATAATTGAATCATGGGGGCGGTTTCTCTCATACTGTTCTCCTAGTAGTGATGAAGTCTCATGAGATCTGATGGTTTTATGAGGGGTTTCTCCTTTCCCTTGGCCCTCATTCTCTCTTGCCTGTCATCATGTAAGATGTGCCTTTTGCCTTCTGCCGTGATTGTGAGGCCTCCGCAGCCACATGGAACTGTGAGTTCATTAAACCTCTTTTTCTATCTAAATTACTCAATCTTGGATATGTCTTCATCAGCAATGTGAAAACGGAGTAATACAAGACTCTTGTGAAGATCTGAGAAATCCCTTCATAACTCTGGCAGGGGAAGGGGAAGAGTACTTATTATTAAATAACCCAGAATATTTCCTCAACAATGACCTATACTCCATTAGCAGACGTTACCAGGCATTATCCCACCTCAGGTTAAGGACATTGCTCCCCCTCTAGTTTTTTTTTCTCACCTAAGAGTGGTGGGACTTGTGAAGGACACTTGCTGAAGGCACAGGCATACTAAAAGACTGGGCTTGAATCATAAATTATAAAACACTTCTTCTCCCTCACACTTTACTAGCATGACAGGCTGCAGTATAATAGCAATGGATTATAGCTGAAAAAGCTGCCATCTGCAGACTCTCTGAGGAAGCGTGCTCAAAGTAAAAAGGGAAGAAAAATAAAAAATCTTGAAAGAAGCCAGAAGGGCAAAATAAAAATCTTTACAAGGATAAGAAATATACTAGACTTTGTCCAGAATGGTATTTCCTAGGTTATCTTCCAGAGTTTTTAATAGTTTGGGTTTTACACTTAAACCTTTAATCCACCTTGAATTGATGTTTGTGCTTGGTCTAAGGAAGGGGTTCATTTCAATCTTCTGCATATGGCTAGCCAGTTATCCCAGTACCATTTGTTGAATAGGGAGTCCATTCCTCCTTGCTTGTGTTTGTCAATTTTGTCAAAGACCAGATGATTTTGTGGCATTATTTCTGTGTACTCTATGGTGTTCCACTGGTCTATGTATCTGTTTTTGTACCAGTACCATGCTGTTTTGGTTACTGCAACCTTGTAGTATAGTTTGAAGTTGGGTAATATGATGCCTTTAGCTTTGTTGTTTTTGCTTAGGATTGCCTTGACTATTTGGGCTGTTTTTTTTGTTCTACGTAAATTTTAAAATAGGTTTTTTCTAATTCTGTGAAGAATGTTATTGCTAGTTTGATAGGAATAGCATTGAATATATAAATTGCTTTGGACAGTATGGTCATTTTAATGATATTGATTCTTCCTATCCATGAGCATGGAATGTTTTTCCATTAGTTTGTGTCATCCCTGATTTCTTTGAGCAGTGTTTTGTAATTCTTGATGTAGAGATCTTTCACCTCTCTGTTAGCTGTATTTCTAGGTATTTTATTCTTTTCATGGCTATTGTGAATGGAATTGTGTTCTTTCTTGGCCTTGGATGTTGTTGGTTTATAGGAATGCTACTGATTTCTGTACATTGATTTTTTTTTTTAATCCTGAAACTTTGCTGAAGTTATCAGCTCAAGGGGCTTTGGGGAGGACACTATGGGTTTTTTTCTAGGTATAGAATCATATTGTCAGTAAACAGGGATAGATTGACTTCCTGTATTCCTATTTGGATAGTCATAGGCCCTGGTAAAGATTTTATGATGAAGATGTCAAAAGCAATTGCAACAAAAACAAAATTGACAAATAGGATCTAATTAAACTTAAGCGCTTCTGCACAGCAAAAGAAACTGTCAACAGAGTAAACAGCCTACAGAAAGGGAGAAAATATTCACAAACTATGCATCTGACAAAGGACTAATATCCAGAATCTATAAGGAACTTAAACAAATTAACAATCAGGAACCAAACAACCCTTAAACAAATTAACAAGCAGAAAACAAATAACCCCATTATAAAGTGGGTAAATGACAAGAACAGATAGTTTTCGAAAGAAGACATACACACAGTCAACAAACATATGAAAAAATACTGAACATCACTAATCATTAGAGAAATGCAAATGAAAACCACAGTGCGATACCATCTCACTCCAGTCAAGATGGCTATTACTGAAAAGTCAAGAAATAACAGATACTGGCGAGGCTGTGGAGAAAAGGGAACCCTTATACACTGCTGGAATGGGAATGCTTATACACTGAACTCATGTAAATTGGTTCAGTCATTGAGGAAGACAGTTTGGTGATTCCTCAAAGAACTTAGAATTAGTGTTCAACCCAGAAATGCCATTTTGGGATATATACCCAAAATAATATAAATCATTTTACCATAAAGATACATGCACATGTATGTTCATTGCAGCATTATTCACATCAGCAAAGGTGTGGAGTCAATGTAGATGCCCATCAACAGTAGACTGGATAAAGAAAATGTGGTACATACACATCGTAGAATACTATGCAGCCATAAAAAGAATGAGATTATGTCCTTTGCAGCAACATGGATGGAGCTGGAGGCTATTATCCTAAGTGAACTAACACAGGAACAGAAAACCAAATACCTCATGTTCTTACTTATAAGTGGGAGCTAAAATTGAGAACACATGGGCACAAAAAAGGGAACAGTAGACACTGGGGCCCACTTGAGGTTGGAAAGTGGGACAAGGGAGAGGATAGAAAAACTGCCATTTGGGTACGATATTTCACCTTGGTGACAATCTCTACATCAAACCTCCATGATCTGCAATTTACCTATATAACAAACCTGCACATGTAACCCTGAACCTCAAATAAAAATTAAAAAAAGAGAATGAAAAGAAAATTAAAATAATAATTATGGAAAAAATAGGAAGTCAGTATACTAATAAAATGCATGGGTATAAAAATATATTTTTCAAACCTAACAAAAAATGCTGTTCAAATTAGTAGGAGTTTTAAAACAGAAATTGTCTTTCTGACATCACTGAACTGATATCAGACCAAGAAAAACTGACAATCAATTTAATAGAAGCTGTCAATAAATGAATATTGTTAGTCAATGTACAAACCAGATCACTTGTTTTGTAACTGTGTGTCTTCCAATTGACCCTGTGCAGAAAGGTGAGTTTTTTCTTTTTTCTGAAAATGTAACTGGCATGAACTCTTCTTTCCTGTGGTCACCGTGACATTTGTCACATTTGTGATGTTTGGGCATAGATTGCAGAACAAATAGTATCATATGCACATAATACACACATATGTACACATGCACATGAATATACACATATAAACACAAACCACAAACATACCTGGTAACATATACATACACACATGTTCACACATATATAGACACATGCACACATACACACCAACCTACATGCACACATACACACCGACCTACATGCATGTATATCCAGGCATGTGTAGACATATCTACACACAAACATACATGCACATACTACATGCACATACTCAACGACACATATATCCACTAGATATTCCAAAAATGATTTTAAACATTCAGTGTTTGAATATGTGAACCACACCAATAAAAGCTGGATTAAAACAAAACAAAATAAAAAGAATTATATCAGTCTTCTCGTCAAAAATTATGAAAGCAAGGAGAGTGGAGTAAAATATGCAGTGTTAAAAAGAAACCTAGAATTCTATATCTAGTGAGCTTATCTTTCAAAGGTAAAGAAGAAGTTCTTTCTCAAACTAAAGTGAAAGGATTTCATTGCCCACAGATCTGCCCTGTTAGAAATGTTTTTAAAGAAAGTTCTCAGAGAGAAAGAAAATTATACAAGTCAGAAACTTGGATCTATATAAGGAAAGGAAAAGCATCACATAAGGAATAAGTAAAGATAAAAATAAAATCTTTTAAAAATTAATTCTAAAATATTACAGTGTATTTTAAGTAATAATAAAATTTAATACAATGTATAGCATATAGGTAAGGAAATGAACAACAGCAATGTCGCAAGGAACAGAGGGAGGGATTGGAGATATTCTGTTATAAGGTACCTGCACTGCATGTGAAGCAGTATAATATTATTTGAAAAAAGGCACTTAGATTAGTTAAAAAATGCATACTCTTAACTTTAGGACAACTGTTAACAATTTTTTAAAAATGTGATTGTTATGCTGAGAAAAATGGAATCAAACCAAACCAGAGAAGGCAGATGGGTGGAGGCAGGGGAGAGAAAGAAACGGAGAACAAATGCAACTAATATAAAACAATTGCAAATAAGTAGATGTTAATTCAACTATATTAACAATCCCTTTAAATGTCAATGTTTTAAATACAGTGATCAAAAGACAGAGATTTTAAGAGTGGATAAGTTGAGAAATAAAATTAAATGTTCTCTTTCAATAAAGAAAACAACTGATTTCAAGTTTTTTAGCTATTTTAAAACATTGCTATCACATGTTTAAAGTTAGACTATAAAACACAAAAATAACAAAAGTTACAATTAAAATAAATTTTTGCTCTGCATTATGGTCAGCATAAAAAAAGAAGAGTGTAAAAGAGAAGGAATTGTTAAGAGGTGTCATAAAGAGATATATATTCAGAAAAAAGTACAAAAGGGTGAAACAAGATAAAGAATGACAGAGACAGAAATGAGGGGAAGAACATTGTCACTATGTAGGCTCTAAGTTTAATAATTTTACCATTTTTTATCAGTGTAATTTTGGGCAGGTTAAATTTTTTGTCATAATTTTTTGATCTGTAAAATGGATGAAATAATACCTACCTCACAGAGTTTTTAGGGAAATTAAATAACAATATTTTAAAAGTGCTTATCATGGTACTAGATACGTAGAAAAGTTTAAATAAATGGTAGCTATTAACATTATGCGATTTTACATTAAAAAATAAAGATAAGTCACTTGGAACTAGAACAAAACTTTAGTTTCCTAACATCTTCAGTTTTGTAGCTGCTTTGTATATTGTGTCAAAACTCCTAAAACCTGGTAATGTTTCTTGTAATTCTAGTCATAAATTAAAATATCAGTTCTTAGCAGTCTCCTAGAAGATGAGAATAAAAGATCATGAATATCTCATTTCCAGGAAATCAAAACAACCTTTCTTAGGTTTCACTCATGAAAACAACCCAGTGATTTAGTAGACAAACCTATATGCATGTTTTCAATTCAGTAATTAAATTTATATTGTATTAGCTAATTGGAACAATTGTTTTTGAAAGTGTAAAGTGGAATTGTATATTCGTTGTTTAATATGTCTGTAGGAAGGTTAAATTAAGCAAAAGTATCACAATACAATACTGAATTTGCACTTTAATTTGAGCTTCCTGTTGCAGAATTAGTAGGATTAAAATCTAAGGATAATAAAAAAGAAAAGAAATTCCACCTAGCTCACTCTTTCTCACCCAGACCTGTAGATGAAACAGCCTCGGGCACTGAGGTGTGTCAGCACTATTTCTGCAGGAACTTCAGTTAGCAGCTACCCCAAGAGTCTGAATCTGTTATAAATCTGACTCTTGTGTCAAAAAGTAAAGGTTAGGAGTCACTTACTCCTCCTGGCTTAGAAAGACCTGGCAGAGGAGAACAAAGGCCCTTAGAAGCTTATTTTCTTAAATGTAAAGCAACCTGTGCCTTTGCAAATATTTGAGGTCTTTTTGGATGGCAGATGGAAATTTACTAAAAGAAATGTGAAAATTGTAAAAATGGTGTCTTTAGCCTTAAACTAAAACTTCCATTTGTTTTAGAGAGAAGGGGGCACCTTCTCCCTTGGTTCATTTGGCATCAAATTAAATCCATATTCTCATGCTGTGAAACTGGGATAGTGTCATCTATTTAATTAACTGGAAAATTTGGCACCTCTGTAGTGTAGCCCATCATATTTGAGAAAGTTGCCTATCTGTTAAATAACCTGAGTGGAGCCCTTTAAAAATTGTTTAAAAAGCTGGAAATAACCATTTAATCACAGTACAGTTGGCAAGCATTCTGTTTCACCCACTTGATGAAATACAATAAATCCATTAAAAATACTGTTAAACTTTCACATTCATCCTTATTATAATGAGGCTAAGAAATAGGACATAGAAATATGTAGAAGTATGAATTTAACTAGATAAAAAGTCTTTTAAGCAAATATCAAAACATTTGCCTGAGAAAGCAATTGGAAGACTATGTACCAAAATGTTGACCTTTGATTATGAGGGTATTAATTTTTGTTTTAATCCTTTTCTCTACTCTTCTGAATTTTGCTAACTTTCTATCATGTACCTATAAAGTTTCTAAAAGAAAAAATATCCCTTCTTGAAACTTTATTTTCACAAATGTTAATTGAATGCAGATGGGTGACAGGCCCTGTACTAAGGCAGAGAGAGAGATGGGTGACAGTTCTCGCCCTGTAGCTGCTTACATTCTGGAGGAGAAGGCAGACAGTTACACAGATAATAAAAGCACTAAGAATGGAATGTACTAGCAAGACATATGTAGGGGCAGAGACAGTCCAAGAAAGAGAGTGATCTACTGGGGAAGAGGAAGAGATCAGGAAAGTGGTTTTCTTACTGTCTTGTTCATTTAATAATCAAGCAACATAAGGACTTAGTGTATTCTAGGTCTTGTTTTTGGTGCTAGAGATGCAACAGTGAACAAAACAGACAAAGATCCCTGTCCTTGAGCCTGAAACTGTAGTGAGAAGACAGACAATTAAACAATAACATAAATTGGCAAAAAAAAAAACAGTACATGATTAGTGCTATAGAAATAAACATTAAGGCAGGGTAGGGAGGGTCAGGAATGTGAACAGTGCATGGGGGCAGTGAGGAGTTAAGTTGTAATTTACAATAGGGTGATTAGAGACGGCCCCACTGAGAAAGATCAATTTGAGCAAAGATTTGAAGGTGGTGAAAAAGTTAGCAATGAGGGTATTGGGAGCAAAATGGTTCAGGTGCAAGGGACAGCCAGTGCAAATATCCACAGACAATAATGTTCCTGGTATGGTTGAAAAAAACTAGGCTAGAGTGGAGAGTGAAGGGAAAAGTTAGTAGGAGATGAGTGTAGACATTTGATGTCATAAATAGACTCTTAGGTAATTGCAGGGACTTTGTTTTACTCTGAGATCATGAGTCACTGGAGGGTTTTGATCAAAGAAAATACCTTATCTGACTTCTGTTTTAACAGGATCCCCTGGGCTACTGTGTTGAGAATTGACTCTAGGGAAAAAAGTATAAGTAGGGCTGCAATTTAAGAATCTGACAATAATCCAGGTAAGATTCATGACATCAAGACATCATGAGGACTCAGACAATGACAGTTACAAGTGCAGGAGTAAGAGGCAGTAGATTGAGCATATATTTAAAAAGTAGAGCCAAGAGATTTCTGACTCATCCACCTAATACAGACTGAGGCATCAAGAATGACCCCAAGGATTTAAAGCTAGAGTCACCAAAAAAAGACACTATAGATAGAGAAGAGATAAAGACTACAGACTAAACCCTTGGACACTCACAAATTACGAGGGTGAGGACAAGAGGAGAAATAAGGAAAAGAGAATGACAAGGATAATCCAGTGAGAGAAGAGGAAAATTCCAGAAGAGCTTGGCATTCTGGAAGCCAGTGAAGAATGAATTTCAAGTAAGAAGGAATGAGTGACCATGTCAAGAGCTGCCAATCAAAATGGATACCACTGGGGACATTGACATGAGCGGTTTCAGTGAAGTAGTCAGGTGAAAGCTGCAATAAAATGGGCTTGAGAGTGAATGAGAGAATAATAATTGGAAAGGCAAGTAGAGACATTTCTTTCAAAAAGTTTTCCTGAAAGGATTTCTAAGACACTGTGCAGTTGCTTGAGAGGTACAGAGAAAAAATTTAAGACAAAAGAAATAGCAGCATGTTTCTAAGCTTATAGTTACAATCTCACAGATTCTGAAAAGTTGACGATAAAGGCAAGAGCAAGAAAATTGCTGGAGGATTCCTTGAATCAGTGGGTGGGGTGGGAACTTGTACACAAGCAGAAGCATCAGCTTTGATAAGAGGATTAATGTTTCATTTGTGGGGATGACAGGGAATACAGATTTGGGGAACTCAAGTGAGTAGCTGTGGTGGTGGAAATATTTTTTTTTCTTTCAGTCAAATAGGAAGGAAGATAATAAGATCGTCAGCTGAGAATGAACTTGGAAGAGGATGTGTTGAGGGTTTGAATAGAGAGGTGATATGGTTTGGTTATTTGTCCCCTCTAAATCTCATGCTAAAATGTGACCTCCAATCTTGGGAGTGAGGCTGAGTAGGAGGTGTTTGGTCATGGGGACAGATCCCTCATGAATGGCTTTGTGCCTTCCCTGTGACAATGAGTGAGTTTTATTTCTATTAGTTCATGAGAGAATTGGTTGTTAAAAAGAACCTGAAACCTCTTCCTCTTTTTCTTCACTCCTTCACCATCTGACACACCAGCTATCCTTGCATTCTACCATGAGTAAAAGTTGCCTGAGGCCTCACTGAAAACTGAGCAGGTGTCAGCCTCATGCTGCTGGTACAGCCTGCAGACCCATTAGCCAAATAAATCTCTCTTAAAAAATAAATTATCCAGCCTCAAGTATTTCTTTATAGTAATGCAAAGCAGACTAGTATAATAGGCAAATGCATTAAACTGGAGATTGAGAAAATGCATGAACTAGTGAAAAATGGTTTAATTACCTGGCAGCATCAAGGACCCCTAAGCTTCATTGTCATTAAGTTAAAGTGAAACCGATCTGGTGGTGGAATGGTTTTCTTCACGTTCACTCAGCTGCATGGGTGCATTGTGGTTTTGCCAACAATGATTACAACAAATGCAGAAGGGCCAGGAAACCAAAGGTTCATGCAGGGCAGTGATGATAATGATGGATCATAGGATTTAAATTGGGCTAGGAGAAGGTCATGCTACCCCACAGGCTAGTAGGGAAGACAGACAAGTACAGTAATATATCTGTGTGCATGCATGCATGGTAAGGTGCAAATGTTTCCATGTAAATGAATAAGAAAGCAAGATATTTCTTACTCTATGGCCAATAACATCACTGACCTTTTAATCAGTCCTTGTCTTTTTAGAACTAGTTGTTAGAGACTATGATAGTTTTGCCAGGGCTGCAGATATGTCCCTCTGTCTCATTTCAAGCAGGGAGGAAGCAGACTCGGGACTCCTTTAGGAAACCTGGATAGTTCTCACTCAGCTGGCTAAGCTGATAACCATACACTAGTCAAAGTAGTATATAAATCACACTTTCAGTGCAATAAAATTTCCTCAGACCATCCAAGTTTTATCTACTTTTCTCAATTATGTAAATTAGGCAGTTTTATTTTGCAAGCAGTTTGCATTAAAAAAATGTAAAAAATGTAAAATTATTTTAAGGCATTAAAGTCTAGTGCCTCAAAGAAAATTCAGGACCTCAAAATTATTTCAAGGTCTTTCATAGCTTAAATCACCTGTGCTTGAAATAACATCTGATTCTAAGAAGAAAAAACAAGTGCAGATGCAGTGTGTGCAGATACCCATGCGTATGTGCACAGGTGTATACACATGACATAATTTGACTTTATCTTGTACGCCTATTCAATGTTGCGCTCCAGACCCTGGAAGGCTTTGTTATCTTGAAGCATTGTGTTAATCTAGGTGATAACAAGGTTCACAGAGCTATTTTCATTTGTGAATAAATACAGAATTTCTGTTGTAGGGTTAACCTTTTATTAAAAATTATTTTAGAGGTATTTTGCAAAGTACCGATAATTGATGCCTGATGTAGTAGTACCCAAGAATTTCTGCAATTATTTTAAGATGGGTAATAAAATTATTAAAACAAAATAAATGCTATGTCCTTTTTAGAAATACTTATAGGCCATTTAGCACTTTAGAGTATATCAACTATGAATCACCTTGGCTTGTCCTGGCCTCCATGACTTCATTTTGATAATATAACAAGGTCCTTCCTCAAAGCACCAGGCTCTTTTATCATTCAAAAAGTTAAGTGTTGTAAACTTGCTTAAGTCTGGGAATTGACTGAGGAGTTGTGACTATTTTGGTGATTCAAGCTGGACTTCTGTTCACTAGACTTAGAACTTTTCCATTTATACAGATGAAGCAAAAATGTAGTAGACTGTTCATCTTTTTCTCTTCTAAAGACACCACCATCAACTAGCCATTGCCATAGGTCTCTGTGAGTCAAACTGTTCTGGTTACTGCTTTGACTCCATTGCCCATTGTGGTAATCATGTCCACTTCCATCTTATCTGTGGAGATTAAGTGTTCTCACCTGTTCCCTGACACCTAGGATCCAATTATGCCTGTTTAATTTTGGAATCCCAGCTTGATAGTGGCACTTCTCATTATAGATGCCTTTGGGGAAGGCCAGGAGAACGGCTGACAGAAAGATTGACGGCCTTGGTATGCTGAAGGGGAAGGTATCCAAAGTCTTAGAGAGATTGAAATGTTAAAGCAGATTTATCATATAACACCCATTCACCTATTAAGTTAGCATATGACCTGTGCTGCCTGTCATGGACTGGATGCTGTCTGATTCATTAGAGCATAAGGTTGAGATCATATAACAGCACTCCATTATCAGATGAAAGTGACCTATGTGAAACAGGACTCAAGCAGGCCCTCAAGATACAAGTCACTTATGTGAGAAGTATCTCAAATGTCTATGGCCCCTACTCTTGCTACATTACCTTCTCTCTCCCAGCCTATACTTTTGGTTTTATGAGGAATTCACTATTACCAATTGAATGAGGAAGAGAAATTTCAGGCCTGGTTTACAGGTGGTTTTGCATGATATATAGAAACCAACTTAAAGTGGACAGCTGTAAACTTCAGCTGCTTTCTGAGATATCTCTGGATACAGTGGTGAAGAGAAATCTTCCTGGTGGGCCTAACTTCAAACAAGTGACCTGTTTGTTTATTTTTTCTGGAATGAGAAATCATCAGGGACTTGGAAGGAATATGGTTAGAGAATTAGTGACATAGAGATCTGAGGAAGAGGTATATGGATAGATCTCTCATATTGGGCAAATAACATATTTAAATGTTTTCAAATATTTGTGTGCCATGTGAATATTCACCAGTAGGTGACTTAGTAGAGAATAATGTTATAAATGGAATGGTTAGAATGACCTTTTCTGTGGATACTAGCCAGGCTCTTTTCCCAGCCACCTTTGTCATTACCCAGTGGGCTCATGACAAAGCCCATTGGGTAATGACAAGGGTGGCTGGGGAAAGAGGTTCGCAGTCACAGTGGCAGGGATAAGAGTCATAAACTCTGCAGTGTATGAGCTCTGGGGACAAGGGTGGCTGGGGAAAGAGGCTCACAGCCACAGTGGCAGGGATAGGAGTCATGAGCTCTGCAGTGTGTGAGCTCTGGGGACAAGGGTGGCTGGGGAAAAGAGGCTCATGGCCACAGTGGCAGGGATAGCAGTCATGAGCTCTACAGTGCATGAACTCTGCAGCAAAGACTTCGCTCACCATGTAAGCGGCAACAGCCATGGTTGAATCCCCAGTTTTTCAGCAGCAGATACCAATCCTGAGTCCCCACTATGGCATAATTCTCCAGGTAGATCCAACAGCAAACTAGTTGATTACAGTGAATCACGTCTATCATGCAAGAGGCAGTGCTTTGTTCTTACAAGAATAGACGCTTACTCTGGATATGGACCTGCCTTTCCTGAACGCTTCTGCCCAAACATATGGAGATTCAATACATATATTCAAAATAGCATATACCTCTCCCCCAAACATATGATCTATGTTAAATAAGTAATTTTTAGGAATTGCCAGAGATTTACAAGATGGTAAAAGGTTTACATAAGAATGAAAGTATTCAGAGATCATTAATAAAGAAATGTTACTGAAGCTGAGTCTTTAAGACCAGGTAATGTCACGTAGAAAGATGGAGAAGAGAGATTTGATTATTATTTCATGCCAGTGGCACAGCACAAATGAAAATTTGAGTGGAGACTTTATTTGAGGAGTGTGGAATAGAATTTGTGGCCCATCTGTAGAATGCCTGAAATAGTCTTGGAAGACCATTGGTGATTAGAGTTTATCCTGTTAGAAATACAGTTATTGATAGCTCGTGAGCTGAGAACTGACTGGACCAAAGGAGACTTTTAGAGCGTATTGTTTATAAAACATGTTGGGGATGAAATCATTTTCAAGTACAGTTGGCCCTCAGTATCCATGGGGGATTGGTACCAGGACCCGTAGTAGATACCAAAATCTGTAGAACCTCAAGTCTGTTACATAAGATGGAGGAGTATTTGTATATATCCTTTGCACATCCTCCTGTACACTCATAATACCTAACAATGTAAATGCTACAAAAATAGTTGTTATACTGTATTTTTTATTTGCATTATTTTTTATTTTTGTATTTTTTAATTTTTTAAAAAACATTTTCATTTCATTTCATTTCAAATGCAGAATCCATGGATATGAAGGGCCAATTCTATACAGCCTAATATATAATATAATAATGATATAATATAATTCTCCATTACATTAGTCCAATTGTAAAGAAACAAGCCTTGATATAGTAGTGAGGATACAAAATGGAATTAAAAGGATAGATTTAACAGTGATTACAAAGGAGGAACTCAAAGGACTTTGAAATAGATCACATAGTATGCATCTTTCATGATGTGTGTCTGTGTGTGTGTAGGTTAGAGAAGAGAAAAAGATAAACCCAACGTGACTACAATTTTCAAGTTGCATAACTGAGAGGAAGCAATGCTGCCCATAAAAGAACGAAGGGAAAGAAATAATTATGTCCCATATCAGATTCATACCTAACACTCACTGAGAACATAGTATATGTCAGGCACTGTTCTAAACATACTTCATGTAGTCTCTTATTCAATTTGTACATAAATATGATGGTAGGTGTCATTGTTTTGCTTATTTTATAGCTGAAAAATGAAAAAAAGAGAGACAAAGAGGCTAAAAAATGTGTGCCGTTGAGGTAAATGGAAAGATTCGAGAGGGGCTAGTTTAAATGCAGGGCGAGTGTTTAGAAGGAAGAGAGATGGAGAGGATATGCACATTCAAGTTACATTTCAAGTTATTTGTATGGATTGTTAAATTCAGTATGCTGATTTGATGTCCTGTGTATGAAAATAAAGTCATTGAACTAATCTTATTTTAAGCAGTAGAGCCCAGACCAAAAGAAAGTGACATGGCTCTAGTATTACTTCAATTGATATTCTTAATTATAATATTATTGATGTTCTGTAAGAAAGCCTAGAGGCAAAAGCAAAATTAAAATTAATCATATTCAACATTAAAATCAATAGGCAAAACCATGTGAAGACTTGCAGTAATAATTCATAGAAATCACCTTCTCATTACCCATTTCACTACATACTTACAGGACTTAAAAAATGTGCCTTTTAGATATAGGCCCAATTATTTACACATTTCAAACACACGGTTCATTTTACCAGTGTACCATAAAAATACTTGTAAGAAATGCTCAGTTAAGAGCCTTAAATTATTGACCTTCTTTTGAGTGGGTGAGCTGGAATTTTAAAGAGATTTGAGGTTTCCCCAGATGTGTTCTATGAAACCTTATTTAGTAAGTCTACAAAGAATATTGTGGTCAAGTACGCTGGGAAAGTGCAGGCTTATACAAACTTGAGTAATTTTCTTTACTGCAGTATGTTTCAAAACTATTAGTATGCTAATATAAGTTGTGAATCATTAAGTTGGAGATAGAGTATGCATTTTCCAAAATGAATTTCCCTACATAGTTCTCTTTTTCAGAGTCATCCTAACAGACTTGGGTTAAACAGAGAATGTTTTGGGTAACTCTGATGTAAGCTTCTTATAAGAATATAAGCATAATATAGTATATGTAATACATATATAGTAATATGTATTTCATACAATAGTATATTGTATATTATCCTCTCATATAGTGGTGTAACCCTTTCTTCTACTATATAATAATATTTAGACATTACTTACATATACGATATTTTCTAATTGTAAGTTGCAAAAAATAGTCATAAAGAAGATAGCAAAAATTATCTCTAATTACTCCATCTAGAGATTATTACTATTATCATTTTTCATTTTACGTATTTCTTATTTGTTGAGGTTGTACGCTGTTTGCATATGCTTTTGTTTCATTCTCTTTTAACTTAATGTTAGAATGACTCTTATTCCATCAAAATATATTTTGAATACATAGATAAATTTTTATTCTGGTCTTTGGAGGATTATTAATAGGTGTAATGGGTAAGAGACTGGATGAATTATTAGGAGACCCAAATTTAATTTGAATCTTTGCTGCTAATCAGCTGCATGCCCATGACCTAGTCACTTAACATATTTGGGTCATTGCTTTTTCTCATTTGTTATTTGAGGTGATTGGACTAGATAATTGGTAGGGTCACAACCAGCTGCTAAATGCTATTATCCTATAATTTCCCCATATTATTTCAGACTTCAGGGTGTCTGAATTGCCTGGTATTTTAGAAAGTTATTAGCTTTCTGTGAACACTTTGCATGCTACCATGGCTCCATTTTATAAGATAACTCACAATCAATTACCTATCAATATTAATTAGAAGAAAAGGCATCATTGCCTGTGAACTCTTGTGTTTTCTACTATAAATTGAAAAAAACATTAACTGCAGAATGTCCATTTATGTATTATCTCATGGAATCTTAATTCTCAAAGAATCAAAAGAAAGTTTCTTATTAACAAAATAATTATTTCTTCACTCTTATGTTAATTAATTACAAATACAAATTATCCCTGAAAAGATAGGTGAAATGTAAATGTATTTGAAATGATTCAGATCTTTCTGTTTTCTGCCAAGTGTTAGATATATTGCTGAGCCTCTGACTTATCCTATTTGGCAAACAATGTGACTAGTATTTAGGAAAAGTAAAATCCTGCCTTCTTTGTTCATGCCCTTCTTCCCCCAAGACCCCCCATCCTCCCCAAAAGTTTGGTTTTATTTGTGATTAAATAGACTACATCAATCTTTTTTTTTTTTTTTTTTTGGTCCACTGTGGTGCTTTAAATCATCATTCCTCTTTAAGTGAGTGAAAAAAGAAGGCGATTTTTTTTTTCAGTAATATTTTTCATATGCATATATGATCTCCCTGTTGTGCAGACTGGATCAGTAGACCATGTCATTAATTAGAATAACTGTCCTATGGGGCCAATCATTAACTTTGTATTTTATGGTACATTCTAAATACCTCCCATGGGTATGTACATAACATGAAATGCAGGGTAATGGGCAGATGGGACCTTGGTGATTCTTTTCTTCACTGATTTACATTCCATCCCCACTGCACTCCCATCCCGCATCTAGTGATGCCCTAGTTTAAAAAAGATCGGTAGCTTGAGCTAGAGGATATAGGCAATTATACAGATTTAAATATAATTCCTGCAACCTGAATTTTTAAGTGAGGTTAATTCTTTTGAATTTATTTAACAACTTTTGAACACTACTAGAAAGCAAGGATTTAAGGTTAAGAGAAAGGAAGTTCAGGAAGCAGTATGGTCTGATGTGAGCGAGTGACGTGCAGCAGTGAAGTGGCCCTTCATGAATCGAGAACTATATCTACACTGTAACCAAACAACACATTCTATTTAAATGAGTATTTCTTTCCCTCCTGAGCCATGTTTGTGATATTTAATATTTCCCTTCTTGCTTTTTCAGAATCTTTAGTCAACAAAGTATCAAGCAAGAGAGGAGGTTTAATAAGAAGTGGTTTAAAAATAGTTCTTATATTTCCACTGTAAATAAATCACTATCTCATCATATATATGAGATTATCTATCTCATATATAATATACGCCTCATCATACTACCTAAAATGATTTCCTGAAGTGATAACCTAAAACAAATATGATAGAAAATTTGTTATTCCTATACAAAAGCTCATACAAGACAAAAGAAAATGCCAATTTCTCTAAAGAAAAATGGATAGATTACACAGGCAGATAGAGAAAGAAACTGACCAATATACATATAAAATGCTTAACTTTAATATTATTCAAATGAACTCAAAACAAAAAAAGTCATTTTTATGTATCAATTGTTAACCACTTAAAAATATTGTTGGTAAAGGTGACACCCATCTGATGGGAATACAAATCATTATAGATTTTCTGAATTTGACAATATTCATCAACTGTCCTTAAAATTTTATAAAACTACCCTGCAATTTCACTTGTAGGAGTATTAATTTAAAAAATAAAAGGGAAACATGCATGACAAACTATATTTATATTACTAGCAGGAAATACTGGAAACAAGTATCCAACTACAGGGAAGTTATTAAGTAAATTCTACTTCCACTATTAAAAATTTACATACACATTAAAAATCATATTCTCAAAGAACATAAAAATATGTGCTGAAATGTTCATAATATAATTCTGAATGAGAAATGCCAACTGTATATTCAGTAGTTTCTGAAATTTTATTTTTAATGTTCATTCCTCCCTCCCCCAACTGTATGACTCCTAGAGCAGAGGTCAGGGTGAATCAGAATGAGATTAAAGGAGTGTTTTAAAAACAGTTCTTGCATTTCCCCTGTCAAATAGAGAATAACCAGCACATGGATTTATAAACTCTTAACATTGTATACACTAAGTTCCTATTAATAGTCTTAATTCTTACATTTCATGAGGGTTGGGACCAGGACTGTGGAGCCCAGTGCAAAAGTAAAATGCTTAGTAATTTCCTCCCAAATTATTAAGCTTATCAGGAGGGTGGAAACACGGCATTAAACCAAGTATGGGGCCCTTGTAAGGTTCTGAGCTTGGACCTTGTCTGACTGCACTGGTGGAGCCCACATTGTATTAAAAGCAAGGATTTAAGGTTAAGAGAAAGGAAGGGAATTATACTTCCCCTCTAGTATAATTCAAGGAACTTGAAAAGTGAACATGTATTCAGCTTGCTATCCATGAAACCTATGTCTCTTTTTCACTAAGAACAAGTATTGAAGTGTTTTTTTTTACCAGACCTATGTAGTAGAATATTTCTATCTAAATGCATACGTCCACACATATCTCTGATAAACGTAAGTGTGCCAACTTGTATCCACCACCAGTATGTCAGATTTCTTCTAGCACCTGATTTTCAACCAAGATTTCTTTTTATCAGTGCCCCAAAGTACTATTATAGATAATATAATCAGAAAGAAGCTAAAAAAACTATCAAACTTTGTGCTTAAGGCCTCTATTTGAGTCATTAAAACACATCAAAAACCTCTTCGAAATTTATTAGGCAGCTGGTGGCATTAGAAAATTCTCATTGTTCTAAGTGTCTGACAGTGGGGATTTGCCTAAAGATTATTGGCCTGGTCTGTTTCCAGATAATTAAAGTTCTGAACTGAATATATGTGTAGTTATGGTAGAAAACAGTTCCAGGTGAATTCGTTAAGATTTGCAGCACTATGCCTGAAATTTATAAATGTAACCTTGATTATGCTTTTTTTTATATTAAGAGGTCGGATCTCACTTTGTTGTCCTGGCTTGTGTGCAGTGGCTCAGTCACAGCTCACTGCAGCCTTGAATTCCCAAGCTCAAGTAATTCCCTTGCCTCATCCTCCAGAGTTGCTGGGACTACAGGTGTATACCACCACGTCTGATTAAATTAATTTTTTCTTGTAGAGAAGGGGATCACACTGTGTTGGCCAGGCTGGTGTCAATCTCTTGGCCTTAAGCAATCCTCCTGTCTCAGCTTCCTGAAGCTCTGGGATCAATTAAGCTCCTGATTTGATTTTGGTATATCGAACCAGGGATATTCCAGTTATATCAAATCATGAAGTAGATGATTTTGGGAGTAAGGCTTAGAATTAATGATAGAGTGTTTTATTTCCCTTGAGGTGGCCAGGGCAGTCATCGCCATTCTAGACAGTACAGCAAACCCTAGAACCACCATGTGCTATCTCTCACCTGCATTTTCTGCCTTCATGTTCTCTGAAACATGAATCAAGAAAGTAAAACAAAATAATATTTTGGACAAATCTCCTCCTTTTAGAAATGAGGAAACTATGACCTGGGATACAACTTGAAGTTCATTTAATTTTCACATGTCATGAAATGTTCTTCTTTTGATTTTTTTTCCCAACCATTTGAAAATTTAGAAACCATTGTTGGCTGGCAAGCCATAGGAACCTAGGTAGTAGACTGAGGTTGATCCTTGGACTATATTGTTTGCTGACCTCTGTCATGAAACATTCTTCAAAAATAAATAATCAGTTGAAAGAATTAAGTGAGAAATGGATGGCTGAATAAACAAGTGAATGAACTGAGTATAATTAATATTATATGACCTGGTAGTAAATGGATCATTATTCAAAAATTAAAATTTAATTATGTCAGACCTAGTTAACTGCTGCTTAATTAATGTCTTAATTCCAAAACTGTTAAGGGTGTAGATAGTGTTTCAAGTAAAGTTCATTTTGCATTATGAAAGTAATGTATAGCCAGCCAGCTAAATAAATAAAGATCAAAAAGAAATGAATACATAATTATTATGGAAATTTTGGAAAATTTAGAGGCATAGAAAGATGAAAACTCTAGTGCCACCTGCCATCCAGAGGTAACTATTATTAATCTTTTAATATAACACTTTGATTGAACAAGCGTTTTTCTGTATTCCAAGATGCTCCAAGGAGACAGGTCCCTAGCACTGTCATGATTCTTTCCTAAATAACTAGCACCCAAGGCTGCTCATGTGGGAGTCCTACATAAAAGCACCAGCAGTAAGAGCAAGATCCCTCTCTGAACCATGATTCATGATGTGCCCAGCTGTGGCCGCCCAAGCACAAGTCTCCATGTGATGCTGAGAAGATAGGGGAACCACTTGACTCCAGCAGCTGCCAAATGTCTGTTAGTTCTAGTTTGCAGTAAGTGATGTTTTCCCAAACCATTTGCTGTACAGTAACACTCAACATGGGGCTCTGTTCGCTTGAGGCTTCTCTTCCCCAAGGGCAAAGATATTTGCTCTATTAGAAATATATCCATGCAGAATGTCTTCTGACATCCCCTTCATCTCATCTGGCTGCCCTGCATATTTTGTCAAGGCAGGTCACAACTAAGTAAACAGCTGAACAATATTTATTAATTTTTCTTTCTGCTTTGCCCCTTTGAGTCCCATGTTCTCTCTTTCAATTCCAGGCTGAATGTGGCTGCACAGGAACCATTTTGATGCAGTTTTCCTGCACTGGGACAGAGAGCTCTCCACGAGGCTGTCTCAGCCCTCCTCTGCTGAGACAGACTTACTACACAAACTACTGGCTGCACAGGAACCATTTTGATGCAGTTTTCCTGCACTGGGACAGAGAGCTCTCCACGAGGCTGTCTCAGCCCTCCTCTGCTGAGACAGACCTACTACACAAACTACACATATATTTTTTTATATGGGGTTTGCACCTTCCAGGGTGAGACCCGGAACTCCTCTTTCCAGAAACCACAAATGACTGTACCACTGTCCAGAAACCATAAGTGTTAGAAATTTATTTCTATTTTTTTTCCTTCTCTTTTCTCCAGTCCAGAAAATAATCTTTTTTGGGTTGTGGGTGGAGAGAAGATTGTAAGTACTGCTCTCACTACTAATATTTCTCCCAAATCATTTGTCTCTGCCTCCAGTGCTGTCTTTTCCTCTGAGGACTGAGACTTTTGGAAACAAAATGTAGGATGGCAGCTATTTTCTCTGCTTTCCCCTGTATTACAGCCCTCCCTAAGGCCCTGCACATAGAAAAGTACAGTGGCTTTAATTGAGGCATTGCAAGTAGTTTCGAGAAGCAAGCCAACTCTCTGGAGAAAAAAAAAAAGAGATTGGTTTCTATATAAGAAATATTATCCAGCTACATTTGTTTAACATAAACTTTATTTTCCTAATTTATTTTCCAAGATCCTCAATCTATTAAAAATAAATTAACACCTTTGAACATCTGTGGAACATACTCTGAACATTGCTATCTGTGACCATCATGTTTTCCAAAACATTCATATTTGCAATCTCATTTCTAGATTTTTCCTACAATAGAAACCTAAGAAGTAGTATCTATTTGCTTAATTTCTTCCAAGGGAACCTGTGGAAAGTAAATAACAAAACAGCCCAGACACAGCACAGAAGGAAGATTTATTAATCCGCACAGCTTTAGTAGCATCTGATACTGCAGACATTAATTCAATGCATAGCAATTACATACTACCATGTACCAGGTACTGTGCTAGACTCAAAATACCTGTTTATACCAGAGATTTCATCATAGCTAGTAAATCTGGGAAGTAACAGAGTCCATTGTCATAAGCCAACTTTTATTTTTCCCTGAGGATTTCTTAATAATACCTCTCATTTTCTGTCATAGACTCTTGGATACTTCGGAACAGTGCAATTATCCAACAGAACTTTCTGCAATGAAGGGAATGTTCTATGTCTGTGCTGTCCAATAAAGTAACAATAAGTTACGTGCAGCTATTGACCACTTGAACTGTAGCCAGTGTGACCAAGAGACTAAATTTTTGTCTTATTTAATTTTAATTGAATTGAATTTAAATAGTTCCATGTGGTTAGTGGTTGCCTTATTGGACATAATTGCTTTAAAATCTTCTCCTGAGACTTAACCAAAGTAACTGGGTCACTCATCTTTTATCAAATTTCTGATAACTTAAAATTTCTTGGTTTTTAGAAGCAAAAAGTTAAAAAAAATTTTAAGCAAAGATAAAAAAAAGAAAAGGTGCTGGAAAGGAACAGAGGGATAATGGAATTAAAAGAAGTAACAGGTGGGCTTGTGAAATGAGGAAAGATTGAGATAACTCCAGAATGCTAGAAAGTAGTTTCCTCAGCAGTGGTCTCATTGCAGACTAGCTGCAATAGTCTGCTTTGGACAGCTCCCTGGGGTGAATAAATGCCATGTGTTCCTGGTTTCATTTGCTTGCATTGCAAAGTCCCAGAAGAGAATGCTTTATTGGCTAAGTGCTGTCATGTGCCATTCCTTTGAAGTGAGAAGATTTCAGCTTTTCTTGCTTCTGCAGAAAGAACAAGGCATACGTATTACCCATCTACATTCACCATTCCACCTATCCTGCACACAATAAGGCAGAAAGTTTTTCACAAGGAAATGATGATGTTATCAGAAAGATGAATAAATACTGGGTACTCTCAAACCGACAAATGTCTCTATACCTTGCAGGTTAATGAGACAGCTTCATTAAGATGAATAAAAGTTATCTAAGTAAAGCCATTCAATATTCCCCCAATTTTGATCATTCTGGAAAATTACTGAATTATGGTAAGTTGACAAATATCACTACCCATGATTGACCTCATTTTAGAGATGAAGAGATTTTATCCTTATGCTTGAAGTCTACCAACAAAATCATTAATGAGTTATGGAAAGTTTATAGATTATTATACTATAAATAATAGTACACACAAATTATTCAGAAATTGCTTTTAATGGACTCCAAAATAATACAGCAGTCCCCAATGTTTTTGTCACCAGGGACCAGTTTTGTGGAAGACAATTTTTCCACGGACTCGGGTGCAGGGAATTGTTTCAGGATGATTCAAGCACATTACATTTATCAACTTCTTTATTTCTATTATTATTATATAATAATATGCAACAATATGATTATACTACTCACCATAATGTAGAATCAGTGGGAGCCCTGAGCTTGTTTTCCTGCAAGTAGACTATCCCATTTTGGGGTGATAGACAGTGACAGATCATCAGGCATTAGATTCTCATAAGGAGCACACAATCTAGACACCTCACATGTGCAGTTTACAATAGGGTTCACGCTCCTATAAGAATCTAATGTTGCCAATGATCTGACAGGAGGCAGAGCCAGGCAGTAATGCCAGCGATGGGAAGTGGCTGTAAATAGAGATGAAACTTCACTGGCTCACCCCGCCACTCATCTCCTGCTGTGCGGCGGTGGTCCGTGGCCCAGGGGTTGTGGAACCCTAATATAAGGTGTATATTACAACTGGCTCATACTTGTTACCTGACATGGTTTCAGTGTGTGCCCCCTGCATTGTACTTTATTTATAGCAGGACTCTTCAGTGGGGGCTATATCACCTCTAAGAGGGTAAACACTTGTTTTTGAGAGGGAGAAAATAAAAACTGACTATTTTTTAAATATAAATCACAGCTATAAATTCAGTACATATGCAATATATATGTGGTGTTAATGTTTCAGGGGCTGAGGGAGGGAATGAGGGAACAACTTTAAAAGTAGAAAAATGCTCCTTAAGGGACTAATAATAATAATAATAAAAAGGCTGAAATGTGTGCCAAATTTTAAAATGCAAAATAATGCAGCCAAAAGCCAAAGGTTTTACTCCTCATTATTGTCCTCTAAGGAGTCTCTGTAGGCTCGATGTTTCTACAAAGGCAATTTATGTTTCTTAAAACATTTATGTGAATTAATTTTCACTGGCATTTTCTTTACAGTTGGAGAAGTAAAACAAGTAAAGAGGCATCTCTCCAAATGTGTATTTAAGAATTCAGCGGAGTTGTGTGACCCTGAGTCCCAGAGGTCCTCTAAACATCTTCCAATGGGTCTTCCTCTTTTTTTCTAGGGCACCTGACCTCCAGTTGGAGAAGAAGAACACTGCAAATAACTTTCCATATGGAGAGCATTGCAGCAGTAAAAATGACTCTGAGCCAGAGTTAGGAAGACTTACAGCCCCATATAGCAATCTGACCTCACAAGACTCTGCATTTTACTCTGTACCATGTGGAAGTTGCATTCAATAATGTTTATGGCCACATGCTCGTTTGAACGTCTACTGTTTGGGATAAAGAAATTTCCTCAGAAATTATTTTTACCCAGTCAGGACCCTTCATCTTGGATAAAGCTTCATTCACTCATGTATGTGAACTGACTTAGGTTAGTTGATAATCAGTTTCATAGAAGTTCTAGAGATTCCTGAAAGAGTATCTCTGTGTGCCAGGGTTTCAGTGGTAAATAGAAATTGAAAATTAAGAAATCTGAATGCAGGCAGGTTGCTTATCTGGGAATGTATTGTGTTTAGATCTAAACGTCAAGTTATAGCTATTCTTTTTTCTCCTTCTGAATTCCTTCCTTTTCTAGCTATTGATGGTGGCAAGAGCCTGGTAGGACATATTTTTGGATGCTGCTCTGAAGCCCAGATTTCAGGAAGACTTTTGAGATGGGGGCAGATCAGGTTAAGGGAGCTGGTGTGAATGATTCCTTTCAGAAAGGTCAAAACTACGAATAGGAACATCACCAAGAACTGAGCCCTCTTTGGGTGGTGGAAACCTGAGCAATGGTGGGAATAATAATAATGCCACCTTCAGCAACAAAAACAATGAATATTTACTGAAGATTTACATTGTACCAAGTGTTTTTCATAGATTTTTATTTTAGTCACCCTGTAACTTTACTACTCCAAGCTTATACAATGAAAAGGCCAAATCTCAGGTAGATTTCATTCATGGTCACACAGACAGAAGGTGATGAAACTGAGATTTGACATCGGCCAGTTATATAGCATTTGTCTCTACTATCATATAGGTATGGAGAGTAAGAGCCAGAGAAGTCTTTCAGATAGTCAGCTACTGCAGCAACAATACTGTATAACAATCATCCCCAAACTCATGGCTTATAACACCCAGCATTTATTTTTATTGCTAATTGGTCTACAATTAAGCTGGTAGGCTCAGCTCAGCTCCAGCTTCAAAGTCAGTCAAATTCAGGTCTACTCCATGTGTCTCATTCTGGGTTCCATTTTGAAAAGTTAGTGCCTTTCTGGGGCTTGCTTTCCTCATGGTGATCACAGGAATTTAAGCTTATGGACAGATTCACATGATGTCTCTTAAGCCCTTGACCTAAACCTGGTGCACTGTCACTCCCTCACGTACTTTACATTGGCAATTGCAAGTTATATAGCCAAGCTCCAATACTGGGGCGGCAGAGAGGGCAAGGATGCCTGCCATTGCAGGAGAACCTGGAAAGACAAATGGCAAAGGATGCAGATGTATAACTCTAAAGCAAGGAGGGCATGAATAATTGAAAACAA
Organism: Homo sapiens; assembly: GCF_000001405.40. NCBI lineage: Eukaryota > Metazoa > Chordata > Mammalia > Primates > Hominidae > Homo > Homo sapiens. The sequence continues at coordinate 37,080,214 of NC_000011.10, forward strand.
GTCTTCTCTATTACAGGTAGAATTTCTCAATTATAAACCACATGAGAGCTGAGCCCTAATCTTTACTTCTTCCACATTCAAGGTAAATGAGAGTGAAAATTCAGAATTTAGGCCAGTCAAATATTTTGTGCTCTTTGATAAATCATAATGTCTCTTTGTAGACACAAACTTCACATAATCATCAAGATTTCCTTGGAACACCTAGTTAACTGTGGAATACTTGCTTTTTTTTTTTTTTTTTTTGAGAGGAAGGCTCACTCTGTGCACTCTGTGGCCCGGGCTGGAGGGGGAATTTTCTCCTCCTGGGTTCAAGCGATTCTCCTGCCTCAGCCTCCTGAGTAGCTGGGATTACAGATGTGCACACCATGCCTGGCTAATTTTTGTAATTTTAGTAGAGATGGGGTTTCACCATATTGACGAGGATGGTCTCAAATCCTGACCTCAAGTGATCTGCCTGCCTTGGCTTCCCAAAGTGCTGGGATTACAGGTGTGAGCCACTGTACCCAGCTGAATGCTTGCACTTTGATGAGAATATCCTTGTTAGGCACACAAAGCCTAATAATTCAACCTTTATTAGTGTCCAGATACTTTCCCCTTCCCAGAACAACAGTCATTTTCTGATTTGCTTGTTTTAATTTTATAGCCACTCCCTGTTTGTGTCTCCTTCTTACATCTGCTGTACTTACATATTTATATGAAGTGTTGACTACCTTTCATTCTTTCCTGAGTTATAAGGCCTATTTCTATCAGTTTCCTTCTTCTTGCTTGCCATTGATGGATTCATTGTTGATCTTCTATTTTCTCTCTTCTGGCTATTTTTGTAGTTTTGTTTACCACTAGTAATCAATAAAGACTGCAATAAATCCATTTTTAAATGAAATGGACAAAAGAGTGACACCCTCAAAAAAACAGTGATGGTAAAATACATCAAATACGGAAACAAGTGCTAGACCTGGGGTCTAAAAAAGGGGTGTAAACTCTGCCATTTTCTTCCTAATCACAAGCAAACCCCACGGTACATTTGGACTTTAGCTCTTACTCTGTTAAGCATGAGGAAAATAACATAGAATTGTACATTGCAGAAAGACGTATGTTTATTATTGTTCCTAATAACAAATAGAAATGGAAAATAAACATTTATCAGAGGGAAATGGTTAAATAAAAATGATATATCCACATAATGGAAATACATGTAGTCATATAAATTCTATATACAATATCATGGAAAGATAGACTTGAAATAATTGTTAAATTTTAAAAATCTTGTTTATTTTTAAAAATTTACTTATATATTCAAAAATTGAATGTAACCTAGGAACTAGAGCTACAATAGTGAAAAACAAAATTGCTTCTCTCATAGCTTACATTCTCCTGGCAGAGACATAATAAACCAAATAAATTTAAACAATACTATAATATATTAGGTAATGAAGCATGCTAAGAATAAATGAGAGTGTGGAATGGGCTGTGATACATTAGTGGACATTGAAATTTTAGATACATTGTCCAGGGAAGGCTTCCTTGTGATGGTGACTTGAGAATTGAGACCTGGAGGATGCTAACCATGCTGATAATTGGTAGAGGGCATTCTTAGAGAACCACAAGGGCAAAAGCTCTAAGGTGGGATTGTGTCTGGTGTTCCAGCAACAGAAAGGGAGCTGTTGGGATTGTACTTGAGAGAGGGAAGACCAGAATGCCATGGAGGCAGAGAAGGAATGGCAATGGGAAGGGGATCACATCATGTAGGGTCCTGAAGTTCTTGATTAGCATACGCTGGCTTTTAGTTTGAGTGAGATGCTAAACTCCTTGGGGGTTTTGAGGAAAAGAAGTTGCAGGTTCTGCTTTACATTATAACAAGATCTCTTGGGTTGCTGTTTTCAGAACTGACTGATGTGGGAAAGGGGAGGAGCTGAACAGCATTTGAGAGGCTACTCTGATAATCCAAATAAGGTACAATAATCATAATAGGGTGGTGGCTTGGGATGGTTTCCAGATATGTATATAGGGTAGAATCAACAAGATTTGCTGATGGGCCAGTTTGGATGTGAGAGAAATTGAGAATGACTTAAAAGATTTTTAATCTGAGCATGGGAGGGTTTGAGTTCCAGTAAATGAGAATCAAGGATAGCTGCAGGAAGAAGTATGACAATTCATAGTAAAATATCTGAATTAATATATGTCACCTTGATTACTCTCTTGATTACACCTCCTGTTACCTCTGGAGGGTATAATCGCAAAGAAATGAAAATGAGTTTTCATTATTTTATTTTGCCTCCTTCCATATCGACAGACTTGCTTATAATACATTTGTTTTTATTCATTATGTTGCAATGGAAAAAAGAACACTTCTGATGTTCTTGGGTGAATCAATTTCATACAGGGTCTTCATGGTTATATGAATGTATGTCACAGGTATTCTTATGAGTAATTAAATGAATAATGCCATAATTTTCAGTCCATTTCTTGGTTGCAGAAATCGAGCAAAATGTGGCTGATAAAATATGTGTAATAATTAATTTTACTGTATTTGGAAATGTGATGTATTCCTGATTCATCCCAAGGTGTTGCTTAGAACTGAGGGCAAAACCTTAAGTCAAGGTTTAATTTACTAGTGAGCTGTCCTCATTGGGCTACAGCAATGTCGAAGACTCAATCAATCCTCTGCAGGTCAGTGGGCCTCACCCTGAAAATATCTCAGTAGCAAATATCTGACTTCCATCCATTCAGTGATCACTGAATGAGCAAAGCCTCCTAGCAATGCTCAATGCACCCTGTCTGACTGGAATTAATGGACACAGGGGCTCACCACTGACTTGTTCTGTGACCCTAGACAAGCCATCTGAACTGACTTGCTCTTTCTTAATTGGGAAAGAAAATGAGGAAATGAATATTAGTTTTCTACATGCCTCTCAGATCAATTATGGGAGTGTCAGAGGTACAGTAATCCCTTAATTAACAAATTACTTGGGAAGAAGCACTTTAATACTTTCATTTTTGAAATAATAAACTTGAAAATTCCTGCAGATCAGAGATGTCCCAGTTTGCGTCCTGACAACAATGACTCAATTGCATAATTCTCTTTGCCCCTGCAAGGGGTAAATAAGGTTTACTTTTGATATCAAAGTAATGTTCAGGGTAGGGCATGAAGGTTTAGCAGGCAATGTTTAGAAGGCAGGAAAGTACAAAACAATGATGTAAAGAGGAGTGTTATTCATTACTTTCACAGTTCAAGTTGTTTGTTTTTAACTTGTTAAGATCAGCTCTCTTTTCCTGAATGCCAAAGCTTTTCTGCTATTACTCTACAAGGTGTATAGGTCTCAAATCATTTTCTCGGGATGACAGGTGTGAAGGGGAAGTCAGACAAAATATAATACAAACAGACCTCACTCCTGCTGGGATATCAACAGGTGAGGTGCTGAAAGCTGATCAGAAGATGTTTATGACATGGCTGTAGACTCATGTGGTTTGAAGTTTGCCCTTGAGTAAAGGTGTGGGGAGGGGTTTCGTAAGCAATGACTAAACATAAAAAGAGAACAAGTGTGAAAATTATGTACCTCCCAGTGGACCCTCACCAGGTCCTTGTCAATGGATCTTCTACCTCCTGAGTCCCTCTCCTGGTAAACTCACTTATTTTCCAAACCTCTCTGTTGGAGGTAAAAACTCCCCATTTCTCCTTGTATCAGGATCGCTCCATCACTCATCTCAAACTCTATGTTCCTCCTTTCTTTCTTGAAGGACCTTGTTTGAAGAGTGAAGGAGAAATAGTTTTGGGGGAGTATCTCCACTTCATGTGGCTTAGGTTACAGCGCCAAGGAAATAAGGAAATTGAAGATGTTTGCACTAAGAAGGCATTTCATTCCGTTTTATACACTTTAAGAGATAGCGTAAAAAGTTGAATTAGATGGCCACTTTGGAAAGCCCATTGGTATTACCTGTTCTAGTGGACACTCTGCTACATGGCCCAGATTTATATTCTGAACTGAAGGATTTATTTTTCCAGCTGCACTGAGGGTTGCTGCTGGAATAGCCTTTAGCTTTCAGCCCTCTCTGGAAGTTGCCCTCAGGTGAAGAGTGACTTTTCATGTATGGTCGTTTCTTCCAGGGCAAAGCCTGCTCTAATTACTGTTCAGTGGGGAACATAATTTTTTAGCCTCATTGCCTCAACAGTAACTCTGAAGCGTCATCACAGCTTCAAGGATCTCTGTGGAGCTAACTGTAGCTGGCTTTCACTTAATCTTGTTACCTTCTTTTCTTCTGTGGATGTCAAGTCTGCAAACACTCGCCAGTCAACTTCCTACATGTAAATCTCTGTCTCAGAATTTGCCTTCTGGGGAAACTAATGCACAACATCTACTAAAGCTGGGGGAAAATATACTTATAATCCAGGAATTATAATACTCATCATAGCCCTTAGAGAAATTTGTATATATTTACATCAGGATGCATATACCAATGTTCACAATGGTATGATTTGTAAAATCTCCAACTGTAAATCTAAATAAATATAAATATCGACTCGGTAGAATAGATGAATAAATCATGGAAAAATTAGATAACAACTACATATACAAATACTGAAAATGAATGAACTACAGCTCTAGATACCACAACATGAATGAATAGTATATATCTGAGGGGAAGAAGTAAGACACTAAAGAATATATGTAGTAAGATATATATATATATATATACACACACACACACACATATATATTACAGTAATATACACATAACTACATATATAGTCAATTCATCATAGACAAAGCATAAACTGCTGTTTTAAAATGTGCATGTAGGTTTAAAACTATAAGGAAAAGTAACTGATTAGCATAAAATTCAAGATAGTGTTTATTTTTGATGGAGAGGGGTTATGACTAAGAATACACAGGAGACTTCTGGAGAATGAAATATTTCTGTTTCTATACTGAGGTGGTATTAGCTTAGATGGTTAGCTTTAATTACCTTTGACTATTAGAATGTACTTTAAAAATGAGACTGTATGTCAGGAAGAACTATGCTACCAGATTTAACTAAGTTGCACACGTTTATGAGATGTCTGGAACTCATCTATCTAGTCAAGTGTATCCCGAAAAAATCGATGGGTCTTAAAACTTGTTTAAGAAAAAACCACCCTGAAACTAAGTTTTTTGTAGTTATAAGACTGTCTCTTAAAGAAGATAGAGCCTCAGGCCTTAATATAAAGCTGCTTCATGAAATCAAATTTAAGTTGTAATGTTTTGTTCAAAATAGTGTTTTGTGATTGTCTTTTAACTAAGAATATTTTCAAGACTGTAGATACTACTTGTGCTGAGGAGGTCCCACCCCCTTAGTGTGTGGTTGTCCAACTTTTAAATGTGGCTGTCCCTGGAAGGAGCTAGGACTATGCTCTGGCTGGCTTATGCTGCGGGGACAGATGGCTGATTTTCTTGAATAGCTCAGGGATACAGAACACATACCTGGTCTGTGCTTCTTTGTTTGCACCTGCTGAGACCCACTTACGGACGTTTTGCTCCTTCCCAGCTGCACAAAGAAAAACCTTGCACGCTATTGAAAAACTAAGTTCCCATGACCTTTTCTTTCCCACTATCAACAATCATCAATTTTGCCTAGACTCATGAGAAAGCAAGGCTTTAAGTTGCTTTATCTTCATTCATTCATGCCCTCATTCATTTATTTATTCAATAAGTGTTTATGAGTCCTTACCTTGCCCCAAGAACTTTTCTTAAAAATAGCATTATATACATGATAAAAAATTTTTTTTTAAATAATTCCTGGCTCAATAGAGCTTTTCCTGTTGTCAGGCACCCTTCCTGTTATTCCTTACTGCATTTGAGGAGGACAGAAAGCAGCATTAAAGCTTCCCTTCAAAGTCTATGTGAAAGACTCTCTTGTTTTGAACAAAGGAAAAAACAAAACAACCAAACAACATCTGCTTCTGGCTTCATACCCCAAACTGGATAATTAGTTCTAAATAAATAAATACATGGTTCTCATATCTTCTGTATTACTTCTAACTTTAATTATAAAGTCCTGATAGAAAGGTGCATGATCAGGTCATGAAAGCCCACAATCAAATGGTTAAATCACAGAATCTGCATAAATCATATTTATCTGGATCCTAAATAATGTGTGTTTCAAGCTTTCCTCCATTCTTTATATCAAAATAAATTTCAAACTTTTTCAATTTCTTCATGCCTTAGAAACTTGGAGTCTTTAATATTCAGAACATAAAATTGCTCTGAGGAATAAATGAAATCCTGGAGATAAAGTGCACGGTGTCCACAGCACACATTGTTGGTAGCCTTAATGGCTTCCGCTTCCTGGTCCCATTCCTAATAGGGCCTCCGTGGATTTCCTAGCCACTCTGTTTTGATAGATTTGACATCGATTTCCAGGGGCAGAGGTTGGCCCTAGTTAGCGTAAGCAATTTAGAGTATTCTGTTTTCTTGGAATACAGAGATTGATTTAAAGATGGCACATGGCACAGTTTTAGACAGTGAGACTGAGGGGACATTTTCTGTGGGCTTCAAGAATGAAGATTTCTTACTTTTTTGCATGAACTCCCCGAAGAGATACCCCTCATCTCTGCTGGATGTAAATGAGGGGTAGCTGTTACTGGCAGCCATCATGAAAGGAAGCCTGAGAAACAAAGGGAGAGAAAGAATAGAATTCAGTCTTTGGTGATGTTATGAGCTGCTGGACCAAATCTCTTCTGTGAATATGTTAGTTAAATGAATCAATACATTCTCTTTATTATTTAGGACTATTGATTTCAGCTTTTTGTTATATCCAATAAAAAAAATCTGTGTACCTCAATGTAAAATACCTTCACTAAATGTAATCTATTTTAAGTCAAATGGCAAAATGTTTTTAATTTAATTCAGAAAATTATTTAAAATATCAGTGACTTTTTGAAATAGGATAGACATCTTAGCACCTGGTATTCTAGCATATGGCCTGTAAAATCTCCCTAAGTGTTTTAATTTCTCTTCTGGAATGGAATATGAAAAAAATAAGACCTAGAAGGAAATATGTGGGTTTATATTCTTTAATTTACCATACAAATTAAAAATTTACACGTCTAAGTTTAATCCTAGTAATATTCAGCTACCTTGCCTACATCCCTCCTTGCTGCCTTTCATTTCACTATAGCTTGCTCTTTCTTGCCCCTGGAAAATGCCTCTAAATCCCTGAACCTGTCAATTTTCACAAGCGTGTAATTTTACTTTAGCTAAATTCTAAACACCAGCAAGAGGTGAATTTGACAAAGGAACTGTGAAAGAGTCTTATCTACAGTGACACAACTGCTACCACCTTAATATCTATTAAGTAGCACAGAATTATAGTGTAACAACTCTGAAATTGCTGTGACATCTGCATGAATACCAAATAGATTTGTTATGTTCAGACTTATTACAAAAAGCACTTCCTGAATTTTAAATAATGAAGATTCTTACAAATTAATAGTTATCAAGTGAGATACTTTCTAATGTATATATGTTATTTAAAGATCGCGGTTCAGTTAAATGTAGGTAACGGTACAAGTGCTACTGCCACTCACTAGCTACTGATGTTTGGAGAAATAGTCTTAATTTTGAAAGCTTTCAAGTGGCATTATTTTAAGAAAAGTACACCTTCACTTTAAGTGCTACCTGTCATTCACCCCGTCTCTCTGGAGATGAAGAAAAAAGTAAAGAAGGAAGAAAGTGATAAATGTCCATATTATGGGGTTTTTGCCTTTTTGAAAGCCCATTCCCCATTGCACTAGCTGGAATTTTATAGAGACATAAATCACAAAGAAATAAGAAGCCAGTAATGAGATAGAAGTATATTTGAAATATGGATGCAAATTCTTACCACCTGCTGAGTGAAAGCAGTCTGCAGAGACTATCCTGGAAACTGAGGTGCCATTAGCATCTTGTAAGCTCTAAATTTGCAGCAGAAGAATAGAGGAGTTATGCCTGTGAAATGCCAAAGGCCGCCCTGATTTATTTCCCAGCAGAATGTTTCAGCCACATCTACATAAATATTTTAACAGGAATTTAATTTTCATTTTAGTCACACAATAAATCTTTTTATTATATACCATCATTTTGTCCTAAATGAGTTGCCTTTTTCATGCAATGTGTGCTCATTCTTTTTTTGTTTGATAAATACAATTTTAATATACAAAGGAACAATGGGTTTATTTACACAAGAGCCTTGCCATGGGCTGTTTAATCTTAGCCATGAATTCTATTTATTTTAGTATGATTTATACAGCAGCTACCAATTGGCTCATATATAACTTCACAGTTTGTTCTTAGACCTTCAGAGCATTAGGAAAATCGAGGCAGTGAGGAGGTGTGGAATTCAAGTAATTTTACAAGTGGATATTCTTTTTGGATATGGGCTTAGATGCATTGGCTGTAAAAATATACACATTGCTCCATTTTCAATCTGGTTGTCAGAGTGTTTCATCAAGTGGAATGTGAGAATTCTGGACAGTGTGAGGTTGATGGAATCTCACCTTATTTAAGTTTCATGTGTCACCCTGTTTCCTTGACTATGACCACATTGTAAACAGTGAAAGTGATGATAACTACTTTTGAACCCCCTAGGAAGAAAGTAAAAGGTATTGCTTTTCATATACTTATTGAGAAAACATACAGCACTAAGCAGACTCTATTGGTTGGATGCATATTGGATGTTTATCCTGGAACCAATTACTTAACCAAGTCTGACAGTTGTGGTCAAGATACTAAAAGTGACACTTGTAAAGTGTCAATCAGTTGGTGGTTTAGGCAACAATAGTCTCTGTCTGTATCGTCTCCCCTTAAATTTTGTTTGAAAATATTTTATTTCATAACCTTTTACTTTAAAATGTAAACAATTGAGAGTTTAATTTTGAAGATGGGGGAACCTAAAAAATTGTAATACAATGATAAAAGCTCTACAAATCTTTATATCTTCATCAAAAATTGTTGACATTGAAATTAAGGTTGAATAAGCAGGATGGAAAATAGTTTCATATTTTGTTGGAAGAGGTGATATATGAAAAAGAGTTTAAGACATATGAATTTTTTTTCAGCATTCCTATTTGTACAGAAGAAAAAGATTTTTTTTTCTGAATAACTCTTATTTAAAATGAAAACACCATTATGTTGGCTAACAACAGCCAAAGTTCTAGTTTTTGAGGCCATATCTTTATTCCTAAGTAAATGATGAGAATTAAAATTAATTTTTTCACTTGAGGCCACTTATATCAGTTTTGCAAATATTTGCTTTTTTACTTGTTTTTGTCAGTAGTTTATTATATGGTTCTAAGATCTAACAAATATCTTTGCTCTCATCTGTGTGACAAGCCTGAGCATCTCCCTGAAAATATATGATGACAACAGAGCAATAAAACCTCATAATTTTTAATAAATGGATATGGGATGAGAAAAATGGATTAGTTCAGACTTGTCCATCCACTTATTACTTACAGATGGCCCTCTCTGGCTTCTCTGATTTTTTTAATATCTTACTTTATTGTTGGAATTTTTGACAAAGGAAGTCTGTTATCTTTGTGTAAATGAAAAATGTTTCTTTCATTCATACTTAATAGACTAATAAACTCAGTCTTGTTTATACTGTTCATTTTCTCCACTAGCTCTGTCTGAATGTGTTTTTCCCTCTATTTTTATATGGGAATCCTAGCAATGTTTATGTCCTGGCTCATACGCTACCTTTGATTGTTTACACTTACATTTATGCATGTGTTAATCCAATCATTGCCTGTTATGAATCATGCACACTTGTAGAAACTACAGAGACAGCTCTAAAGGAGGCAACATCTCTTTCTACAGCTTCCTGGAAACATCTCATTCTCTCTTTGTTATTTCATATTATAAGTTGTTTGAGGCTATACTGTATATTTGATTTATCTTTGTGTCCCTAGCAAGTTCCAAGAGAGTGCCTTACACATACTAAGCACTCATAAATGTTTATCAAATAAGTGAATAAATTACCTTGCCCTATTTATGAGGACGTGGTTTGCCAAGCACAAATAACCTTAGCACAAAAACCAAGTTAAATTAATAAAATATAACTTTGGTTTAATTGTACCTATGATTTAGTTATAGTGTATAATATGATGTACTGACTAATAGCTGTGGTTTCAAATCCTGAATCTACCATTTATTAGCTCTGTATGTTGTACCTCAGTTCCTTGTTGTTAATATGCAGATAGTGATAATTCATAAGGAACTGAGTCAGTTATTATTTGAATGAAATGGGGTAAGGTGTGCAAAGCCCTTGAGCTTAATGCTTGGTTTGTGCTGAATTCTCAAAAAATCTTTTTTTTCTTTGAGACAGAGTCTTGCTCTGTTGCCCAGGCTAGAGTGCACAGGTGCAATCTCCACTCACTGCAACCTCTGCCTCCCAGGCTCAAGCAATTCTCCTGCCTCAGCCTCCTGAGTAGCTGGGATTACAGACACAGGCCACCATGCCTAGCTAATTTTTGTATTTTTGGTAGAGACAGAGTTTTTCCATTTTGGCCAGGCTGATCTTGAACTCCTGGCCTCAAGTGATCCACCTGCCTTAGCCTCCCAAAGTGCTAGGATTACAGGAATGAGCCAACATGCCTGGGAAAAATTCTTAATACTGTTATTTTGTATTAGTTGCTGTAATCATAGTTATTAGGATTAATATCTGAGGTTTTGATTTAATTCCCTCTTCGGCTGACTCCCATAAAGTAGCAGAGTTATCTGTTTTGGGAAGTTAACAATGTCAGAAGCTTTCTTTTTCAGTGTATGTGTGTGTCTGTGTATATATGTATATACACATATATAATGTGTATATACATATGCATACATAAGCTATATATATAAATATATATTATATATCTATATTTCTATATATTTACATTTATATAAAGTATTTAAGTTATGTTAATATAACTAACACCTGATTACAACCCAATTTGTCAGGTTTAAAGTTCACTGCAGTGTTTGGGCTGTCACATGAGTCTACAGTGAAAATAAAGTAAATTTATCCTTATGATCACATTTTCCATGATGTTCTTTTAAACTAGAGATAATAATTAAAATATATTTTGTCTTTCACTTTTGTTAAATCTGAGAAAACTACTGTTTCTGTTCTGATTACCAAATCTTCTGTTTATTCATTTCTTTTCCAGGGAGATGAAAAAGACATGGCTTTCTAACAAGGAGAAGACTGAGCTCCAAACAAGTCATAATCCTAGAGACAGGTACCTGGGCAAGGTAACACTATTAATAAGAGTTTGTTAAGGAAAAGTATGGTGGAAGTGTAAACGGTTTTGCCAGCCTCTACCTTCAGCTCTCTATTGCGATTAAGTGAGAATGAAAGCAAACATTTTACATTTCCTGCCCTTAAACAAAGGAAAGCTTTATGTGTAAATTTTCATACTCTTTTTCTTTGTGGTCTGAGATTGGGTAAAGTCAGGGAAGGAAGACATATATGATAGAGCAATGTCAATTACGAAGACCTTAGTTTCCAGGCAGAGCATTTGAGATTTCAGCTACAGACTTCCATTTAATGCTTTAAAATGTAACAATAAGCCTTTGGTTGGTCAATGTTAAGTGGTTGGACTTCATGTAATATGTTTTGCCATCTCAGTTCATTCCAGTGTATCGGTGTTCCAGAGCCAGGATGCAGAAAAACTCATCTCATTCTTTAAAACACAGTTTTTTAAACAGCACTGTTGACATTTTGAGCCAGGTAGTTCTTTGTTCTGGAGGACTCATCTCTACATTGAGGGATGTTTAGCTTCATCCCTGGCCTCTCTCTAGATGCCAGTAGCACCTCTCCAAAACTGTGACAGCCAAGTGTCTCCAAACATTGTTAGATGTCTCCTGGGGGGCATAATCATTCCCAGTGGAGAAGCACTGATTTAGAATAATAATTAATGAATCAACATTTAGTGAGTACTAATTATATTTCAAACGCTGGGCTTGGACCTTTACATTTAATCCTTACAACAACTCTAAAATGTAGGCATTATTGCTTTCTGTTGTAAAAAGAAATGGAAATCCAGAACGGTTAAATAATTTTCCTAAGATTACATAGTAAATGATCAACATTTTTTCCTTACTATGTTGCCCATCTGATGCTTCTTTTGACACAGAGACAGAGCTACTGAATCTTAACATTGTCAGTTGTAAAAATAGCAAATTATGAAAAAGGAAGAGGGATAAATTTCAGAGTGTTCCAGTTTAGAATACAGAAAAAAAAGGTATCAATGTATAATGGTCATTATGAAGTATAAAATGATTATGAATATGAAGGCTCCAAGATATTATCATTAATTAATACTTTAGTTCATTTCTGGGCTCGGTGTTTGATAATCATTTCTTTTAAGATGTCAAATTTCCTTCACTAAGTAGTTCTTTCATCACACAAATTACAGAGACCCAGGAGACATAAAAACCAAATGTATCGTCTAATCTTAGATTTGATCTTGGAGCAGAAAAACACATGAGTGGAAAAGCTGCTGATATGAGTGTTTTATTTAATAATATGGTTCCAGTGTTAGTGTCTTAGTTTTGATAATTATATGATAGTTATGCAAGATGTCCACATTAGAGGACAGTACCTGAAGGGTATATGGGAACTTTCTGCATTATTTTTGCAACTTTTCTTTAAATATAACATTTAAACATTTTCTAAAAAATTAAAAACACAACAAATGTAAAAGTTAAAAACAAAACCATACTGTATTAAGAAGCAGGAGATCTGGGTTTCTATTGCTAATCTACTACTTTCTACTATCACTTTTACCTTGGGAAAATAGTTACAATCTATACATTTTAGTCTTCCAAATATGAAAAAAGATGGTAATGATTTAACCAATACAAAAGTGTGGGGCTCGATTTCCCATAGCTTTGTAAGGCTGCTTGCTTCCAGCTCTGATAAATAATTTTCTGTTTGTCTATCATGTGCCAATCTATCATTCTAATATCTATCTCATTTTTTCCCTCTCTATATATCTCCATCTAAAACACATGTACACATACATACACATAGAACTTTCTGCTAAAATACATTCACATTAAACCTTAATTTTGATTTTAAACTATAGAGTATGAAACAAGTATTTAAAAACGAAGTAAGTTTCACTGGCCAAGAGGCTTTGGTATTACATTACTCAGCCATCACACTAATGTGGGTTTCTTAGGCAGGTGAAAGATGAAAGGAGGTTGTGCTCCTAATGAGAATGAGGCTACATACCTAATGTTCTAGAACTGCCATTAAGAAATGCAAGTATATCACTGCTCTCTTCTGCTGAGATATTTTCCCTTATAACTATGTAGGAAACTTAGATAAAAATGAACATTATTTGAAAAGTTTAGGATTCCTTCCTTAGAACATCATCTGTCCCTAAACATCCCACCATCTGTTCCCAAGGTTTGCATAAGAGGTACTACTATGGGGTCAGCACAATACTGGATACATTACATAGATTGATGCACTTAATGTCTGAAAGGAGGTTTTAATGATAAACAGGTTTTTGATACCTCCAAAAAAGTGAATCTTGATTTTAAATAATAGTGAGACTGTCTGAATCTTCTCACAAAGTTCCTTGGGAAAGCTCTTAGTAATAGTTTACAGAGTATTGCATGTTACTGTATCATTAAAACACATTTAAAAGTTGTGTGTTCTACTTTAGATTGTGGTTGATATCCTTATTTTAATTTGATTGACTGGAAAATTGCAGGGAGATAGCCACATACTGATACAAAATGAACAGTTAGAGCTTCTTTTGCAACATCAGAGAGTAGATTTCCATATGAATTGGCAGTTGTTGATGCTATGTGCAGTTGTAGCTTTGATCTGTAAGCAATGAGGGTTTAAAAATATATATATTTCATAAACATATTACTATTGGCTGTAGCTTCTGAGTTTTGAGCAGTTTCATATTGATGAGGTAAGGTATTTCTCTACTTTGCCCACAAGGCAAACATAATAAATGAAGACTGTGTTGGAATAGTCATATATTACCCGTGAATTTACCACTGAAGTTCCTGAGCGTATGTAGGTGTTATCCTTCTTGGCACTGACACTCCATTTTCCCCCCTAGCTTTGAAAAGATTTAATTTCTTCTTATGGTCCTTATGCTTCCTTTCGCCTGTATGTTTCTCCTTGGTATAATTATAATGTTGTTCCTTCAGGTGAGATCAAAATTGATATTTCCCTTTTCATAAAGAATCAGAGAAAAAGACCCCACTGAGTTGCTTAGTATTATTTTAGGAGAAGAGAATCCCTAAAGAGCGTGTAATTTTTTTCCCAACCAATCTGAATTTATAATTCTCTTCCCCTACCCAAGCCAATTTCTGGCCATTTTCCCTTCGATATATAAGTTGAGAATGTAGAGCCTTCTATGAGTCTTTAGAGGGGCCTCCTGTACCCTCTTCCCTGTTTCTGGCTGATATGGTTTGGCTGTCCCCCACCCAAATCTCATCTTGAATTGTAGCTGTCATAATTCCCACGTATTATGGGAGGGATCTTGTGGGAGATAATTAACTCATGGGGGCGGTTTCCTCTATACTGTTCTTGTCCTAGTGAATAAGTCTCATGAGATCTGATGGTTTAAAACCCCTTTCGCTTGGATCTCATTTTCTCTCTTGTCTGCTGCCATGTAAGACATGACTTTTGCCTTCCACCATGATTGTGAGGCCTCCCCAGCCACTTGGAACCGTGAGTCCATTAAACCGCTCTTTCTTTATAAATTTACCCAGTCTTGGGTACGTCTTTATCAGCACCATGAAAACAGACTAATGCACTGGTCTTTAATGCTTCTAGTAGAGTTTGAATATTCCAAATTAAACCAAAGAAGCAAGTGCAATTGCTAAGACCTTCACTCTCCAAAACCTCTCACAATAATGTTAATCAAGATTTTCCTTTATTTTTCCCAAAAGGGACAGCTGGATAAGAGAGGCATTTTAGGGAACACATTCATTAAGTATGTTTTAAAGCTTTTGGAAGTGACCCAGAACCAAGTGGGTATGGTCAAAAGGAAGTAGTCACAAAGGAAAAAAGAATATCTCAGATTTATTGAGGCACTCACTGAGGACGTGGTAAAGCTATATATTACAGATCTGATGTGGTTGTTCTGGTAGGAACGAGGTCTGAGGCATTCTCCCATAGTTAAAGAGTAAAGCCTTCCCATAAAGGAGGAGATATTCCTGATGTCAGTGGTCCTGGGAAGAGTTGAGCCCTAAGATAGAAAACAGAGACTTGGGAGGTAAGACTCAAACAGGAGAGAGGAGTACATACAGTTGTCCCATGAACAACACAGGTTGAACTGCATGGGTCCACTTATATGTAGATTTTTTTTCAATAAATATTTAAAGATTTTTTTCTTGGAGATTTGCAGCAATTTGGAAAACAAAAAACAACTCAGGGACAAACTGTGTAGCCTAGAAATATTGAAAAAAATAAGAAAAAGTTATTTCATGAATGCATAAAATACACATAGACACAAATCTATTTTATAATTTACTACCATAAGATATATACAAGCCTGTTATAAAAAGCTAAATGTATCAAAATTTTGCACACAAAGTGTACATGGGGATATTAGCAGTTGTGAGAAATGTAAACAAGCACAAAATTGTAGTATTAAATTATAGCTGCATAAAATTAACTGTATTATATGCCGCACTACTGTAATAATTTTGTAGCTACCTCCAATTGTCATTGCAGTGAGCTCAAGTGTTGTGAGTATCTGCTTAAAACATCATGTGATGTTAATTTTCTCCCTCGAGTAAATTGAGGGTGGCAGTAACAAGTGATCTCTTCCAGTTCTTGCATGTTTTTCATCATGTTGAATGCAGTACCATAAACCTTAAATAATACCATGGGACCCATCCAAAGTGCCACTAGTGATCCTGGAAGTGCTACCAAGAAGCAGAGAAAAGTCACTATATTGTAAGAAAAAGTTGTATTACTTGATATGCACAATAGATTGATGTGTCTGCAGCTGTGGTTGCCCACCATTTCAGACAGATAATTAATCTTGTAAACAGACCACATAGGCTTACCCTATCGACAAATACATAATAGTACTATGAATGTATTTTCTACTCCTTATGATTTTCTTAATAACATTTTCTTTTCTGTAGCTTACTTTACTATAATAATACAATATATAATACACACACATAAAAATATGTGTTAATAGACTGTTTGTGCTATCAGTAAGGTTTCTGGTCAACAATAGGGTTTTTGGAGAGTCAAAAGTTATACTCAGACTTTTGACTATGCAAGGGGTTGGTACCCTTAACCCCCACGTTGTCCAAGGTCAATTGCACTCTCCTTTCAGAGAGTAGTCCTTTCTTGTGTCTGAATTCCCAAGATTTATGTTTTGTTCAAGGGTGAGCTCAGGTGGTGAAAGATGGTCTCTGTCAAGTGAGGGTTGCTGAGAGCTCAACCCAGTGAAAGTGGACAAAGTGGGCTCCTGGGAGAAGACACATCTACTTTTTTGATCAGTTCAGTATATTTGCCTTTCTGAATATGTCTTTGTTGGCCTAAATCATTAGTAAAGTCTGGTTTAAATGTTAATTCTTAACCAGCTACGCTGCTGAGATTGAAGGAAAGAATCAGTTCCTGCATGGAAAGGTCCTAGAGACGAGAGTCATGTTGTCCCTAGCTAAAAGTAGGGATCTCGAGATCTAGCTGCTCATTGCCATCTGAAGATAAAAAAAAAAAAAATCCCATCCTTAAAGGATGGGAGTTTGATTCTATCCAAGATAGCTATAGCTTTATTATAATAGATGACTCCAGAGAAAATCAGAAAATTATAGTACTGAAAGTGAAATAGATTAAACACCAGTTAGCACATTTGAGTTCCTTCTCAATACACACTAAGAGGACTCTTGTCTCTGTGATGAATTAGGACTCAACTTCATCTGCTTAATTATTTATATTCCATTCTCTCTTCTAGTTCTGTAATTTCTTGTTAGCATAGGTGATGCATTAGGTTCTTGGATCATGGGCAGGGATTAGTATAATTAAGATAATTAAAGTTGTTCTTTTATTCTCAAGTTTTTTTCAGGGACTGAATCTGGTGTCTTTTCTCTTTCCCTTTCTGTTTGTATTGAAAAACATTGGACCAAAAATAAAATGAAGATGCAGGTCAGAGTTCACTAATTTTTTTCCTCATTTTTATTCTTTGTCTTCTGATATCCAAAAAGCAATTAAGAGAAACCAATCAGTACCATTGATAATTACATATAGTTTGACATTTTGTAGTGGTGTGCTAGAACTGGCTGGGCATAAGGGCTGATTAATGCATATTCTGGAATTTAATGAGCTGGATGTTAAACTATTAGTGACTCAAAATTGGAGGACTGTTTATATCACCATGGAAATTGGCAATCAGAAGTCTTCCTCTTTCTCTTCCTTTTTTCCAGAGAGCTGATTTACCAAAACACTATTGGACTCAGTTTTGGCATCACAAATGTTACATAAAAATTATTTCATTTCAAAAATTATTACAAAAATTTATTTTTATATTTATATTTTAGAATAATTTAAGTGGGCTGATTTTTCAAGAGTAGGCAATTGCTTATTAGAGAAAAATCTCGACTTAATGTGAAGGAGAGATATTTGTATGTTTGGTTCACTTTTAATATTTTTTATCTTTCAAATGAATTCCTAAAAGGATAGGGATTACTTCCTGGGACTATAATGAAGCAGGAAAAATAGGGCATAATAAGGCATAAGTTCTGAAGAAAAATAATCCTATATTTTGTTCTTAAAAATGAATTCCTGCATGATATTTATTATATAAGCAGGTGTCCTATTTATATATTGAAGTTTAAGACCAGCCCCGGGGAATTAGCCTTGTGGCATGAGTCAGCTTGCATTCTGCCTCCCTGGAGGTAACAGCCCAGGGATTCTCTGGCATTGGCCCTGTGTTTGAGAAAGTCTAGTCAATTAACTGAGTTCTTTTGCTTTAACAAACCCTGAGGCTTGTTAAATTCCTAAAAATAATTTTTTATATTTATTCTCTCAAGTCCTTATTGTGGGCCAAGAAAATAGAAAGAGGTGGGAGGGGAGGTGGGCAGGTAGAGAAAGAGCTGGAGACGGGACATGAGTTGGTGAGTGGTGTCTTTCATATTTGCAGTTATTTATTATTAGCAGTGGGCTCTGGATTAGTTTCCTATGGTTGCTGTAAGAAATTACCACAGACTTTGTGGCTTAGAACAACAAACATGTATTCTTTTAAAATGAGAAAGTTCAGAGATTCAAAATCAATTTCACTGGGCGGAAGTCAAGGTGTCTGCGGGACTATCCTCTCTCTGGAGGCTCTAGAGGAGAGTCCACTTCCTTCTTCTGGCTTTGGAGCTGCATACCTTGGTTCATGGCTCTTTTCTCTGTCTTCAAAGCTATCAGTGTAACATCTTTCTTCAGTCTTCACATTGCCTTCTGTGTCTATAGTCAAATCTCCCTCTGCCTCCCTTTTACAAGTACATTTGTGATTCCATTTAAGAACCACCCAGATAAGCCAGGATAATATCCCCATCTCAGGATCCTCAACTTCATTACATTTGCAAAGTCTCTTTTCACATATAAGGTAACATTCACAGGTTCCCGGAGTTAGGATCTTGATGTCTTTGGGAATCAATATTCAGCCTACTGCAGGCCTTTCGGAGGATGAGCCGGTACCATGATGCTCCCTTGGGGAACTTTGAAGTGTGTAGGAATTGCCCATGAAACTGCCCCTTTGGAGAAAACTAGCTTACTTTAAAACTTTGATTATCTTCACCCCATCTGTCTACCTATTCCACCAGCAGAGAACAGAACCCAGCAAAATTTTCTATTTTAATTAACGTGTTATGCCATAGTGAGAGCAGGCATGTATTTTTTTCTATGTGAAAACAATGCTGGGAGCAGACAGAAAAAAAAAATCTTAGTTGCTTCTTATAGGAAATACTTGCTCCTAGAAGATACGAATTTGCATGAAGTATAATAATGTACTTACCAAGTCTCCCTCAGAAACTTCACCTGCGTGAGCTCATCAACCAAAGCTATTATGTCATCAACTATGCACACAAATTTTCTTCCTTGGATGGCTCACTGAAAATCATGTAGCCATGCACTAAAAGCCAATTAGTACCATTTCCTAAGTTCTTTATCGTGAGACATATCTAACACTCTATCAAATACGTTTCTTAATTAAATAATTAAATTTACCAAACCAGACATGGAGAAAGCAGCCTAATATGCTTTCAAGGAACAGGCACCCCTGGTATAGGGAAGGAAACTGCTTAGACTGTACAGTATCCTGGACCAAGTTTTCCTCAAGTTTAGGCGTCAGTAAGTTCCTCCTCTCTGCTGAGGAGGATAGGAAGGAGTGAAGAGGAAGCCTGCAAATGTCACAGGAGTTTAAGCTTCCTCTAGAAACAAGACGCCAGGAATAAAAGACTCCTCCCTAATAGAGGTATTGTTATCTCTCTTCCACATTATGGATCTTTGGGATAACTCTGGGGTATTTGAAAATTTAAATATTAAATTAAAAAATGCCAAGAATGGAGCTGTGAGCTTCAAAATGATCCCCCTTCCTTCCTTCTTCCTTCCTTCCTTCCTTCCTTCCTTCCTTCCTTCCTTCTTCCTTCCTTCCTTCCTTCCTTCCTTCCTTCCTTCCTTCCTTCCTTCCCTACTTCCTTCCCTTTTTTCTCTTGCTTGCTTTCATCTTTCTTCTCTTCCTTCTTCTCCTTCTTCTTTTTTCCTATCCCTCTGTTTCCCCCTTCCTCCCTCCATCCCTTCCTTCTTTTCTTCCTTTTTTCCTTTCTTTTCTCTGGTCACTAGGTGATCTGAAATTTTTGGTTAAAGAATGGAGAAATTGGGAACTAATTTTGTCTTTCTACCATTTTTGGTTTTCCTTAGAAACTAAAAAGATGTTTTAGATTTATTTACTCTACGTAATTTATTATTTATACTCATCCAAACTGGGTAAAGTAAAAACTGCTTATTGGGCATTTTATTACCTTTGACTTTATTTGTCAATATAGTTATATTAATCAAAATATTAACCAGTTACAGCTGATAAGCATCATTGGTGACAGTTTTGAAATTCTTAAAGAAAGATGAAATAATGTGACAATAATTTTAATGAGTGATGCAATAATTTTTATAATCTAAATTGTGATGATTTTCCATTGAGCACTCTCAATACAGTGTATAGGATACAGTGCATGTAATTAGGCACCATACTCCACACATTGATCCTCTTAGCTAACAGAGAGTTTCCACAGCTTGAGGAATCTGGTCCCTTTATCTGAAAAATAGTGACATAACCTCTCATTTCACCTTGAAACAAATCAAACCTCCTCTGTTATCAAGCTTTTATGGTACTCATTGGATGAATTGTTAATTAAATTGCTTGATCATATTGAATTTATTATTTTATTGAGTATTTTTTAAAAAATCCATTTATCAATCAGAATATCTCATAGTTATAGAAAATTCAGAAAATACCAAATACCATAAAGAAGAAAACAAATTACTTCTTCTCACATTACATGAAATAGCCTTTATTAAAGGTCACTATAACAAATTGGGATCCTCCTATATACAGATACATTTTGCATTTAATTTTTTCTTTCACTTTTTATTATATGATGATTGCTTTCTCATGTCATTTCCTCAAAATATTACTTTATAATTGTATTTCAAATAACATATCAAAATATAACATCAATTTTTTATTATTGCACTTCAATTAATTCACATTTTCTCTTTATAAATAATGATATAAAATAAATTCATATGTAAATCCTCAGCCTTCTGATGATTTTATAATATGTTTTAAGAAGTGAAATTACTAAGTCAAGGCATTTTATATTTTCATTAAAACATTTAGAACATCATATGGTTAATGCATGTAAATTATAAGAAACTGGAAATCTACATAAATACATTTTAAAAGATAAATTGCCATAATACCAGAGACATCTACTATAAATCTTTTTAATATTCTGTGCTTTTCCATGCTGTCCAAAAATTAAATAGTGATGTACCTATTTTTTTTTAACATGTATAGTGAACAAGTTCCTGTCAATGAAAGGCCCTTTCCAATATCATTTTCAAATGCGGTGATCATTTTATAATTTTGTAAGATTTTTATTCTTTTAAATTCTTAAGGTGTGTTTTTTGGCTCAGAATGTGGTATATCTTGGTGAATGTTCCATGTGAGCTTGGGAAGAATGAGTAGTCTGCTGCTGTTGGGTAAAGTATTCTATAAATGCCAATTAGATCAAGATGATTGCTGTTGTTCTGTCCAAGTATGTTCTTACTGATTTTACGCCTGCTGAAACTATCAAGTTTGAAAAAAAGGGTGTTGTCTCTAACTGTAATAGTGAATTTGTCTACTTCCCTTTGTGGCTGTATCACTTGAGCTCACATATGTGGATACTTTGCTGTTAGGTGCATACACTTTAGGGATTATTATGTCTTCTATAGAATTTACCCCTTTATCATTATGAAATGTCCTCTTTCTCCCTGAAAATTTTCTTTATTTTAATGTCTGCTGTGTTGAAAATTAGTGTAGCTACTAAAAGTTTATTTTGATTAGTGTTAGTATGGTATGTCTTTTTTAATTCCTTTACTTTTTCTCAAATGTACGTTTTTAAATTGAGGTGAAATTCACATAATATACACTTAATTTCAAGTGAACAATTTAGTGGCATTGAATACATTCAAAATGTTGTGCAACCACCACCTCAATCTAGTTCTAAATGCTTTCATCACCCCAGAAGGAAATCCCATACTCATTAAGCATTTACTCCTCCATTCTCCCTTCTTCTCAGCCCCCGGAAACCACCAATCTGTTTTCTGTCTCTGTGGATTTACCTATTTGGAAAGGTCCAATGTAGTTCTCCTTGTTCCTCTGTAGGTGAAGTGCTTTTTTTCCCCTGACTTATTTCAAAAATTTTCCTTTTGTTTTAGGTTTTCTGAAATTTGAATATATAAGCTTAGGTGTAATTTTTTCTCGGTATTCATCTTCTTTGGCGTTTGCTGAGCTTCTTGGATCTTTGCTTGGTGTCTGTCACCAATTTTAGAAAATTCTCAACCATTACCACTTCAAATATTTCTTCTGTATCTCTTTTTTCATCTCTAGTGTTCAAATTAGCATGTATCACTCCATTTTAAATTGTCCTATGGTTTGTGAATGTTCTGTTTCATTCTTTTTTTCTCTTTGCATGTCAGTTTGGGAAGTTTCTATTGCTATACCTTCAGTCTCACTAATTCTTTCTTTGGCCGTGTCCAGCCTACTGATGGGTCCATCAAAGGCATTCTTCATTTGTGTTACAGTGTTTTTTATTTCAGGTATTTCCTTTTGATTCTTTCTGAGAGTTTTCATCTCTTTGCATATATTACCTATGTGTCTTGCATGTTTTCCTTTAGAGCCCTTAACATATAATCATTGTGTTTTAAAGTTGTTTATCTGATTATTCCAAACTCTATATCACATCTCAGACTGTTTCTGATGTTTGCTTTGTTTTCTTCAATTGTGTTTTTCTTTGTCTTTTAGCATGCTTGTAATTTTTGTTGAAAGCTGGACATGATTTATTAGATAATAGGACTAGAGGCAAATAAGCACTTAATGTGAGGTTTTATGTTGATATGTCTGGGAGTTGGGTTGTGTCACTGTTTCCTATAGCTGTACATAGCAAAAGCATCAGTTTCCTCTACTGTTCTGGTACACATCACCAACAGCTCTTTGGGTTTTACTACAAACTCCTTCTTAAGTGAAGTTTGTGTGTTATAGTTATTTTAACTGTAATCCACTGTTGTTATACTAGAAATCTGTTAGCATGGTGATAAGATGTGGGCAAGGAGAAGCATTCTGAAAACTTACGACTACATCTCCATTTTTAATTGGGAGCGTGTTTTTAAACTGTCACCCGTATAATGTTTCTTAACTTTTTATATCTCCCTTTAGGTAAGATGGAAAAGCTAGAGGGGGCTGGAGTTGGATAATTTCCCATTTCTTAGATAATAAATGAATTTTATGAGCCATCTTTTCCCTTAGAAAGTAGGCCTTTCTTATGGTAAATGCTCTGGGCATATTTCAGAATTATTGATTATGTTCTTCCAAAACAAGCTTTTGTTGTTGTTGTTGGTTTTTTTTTTTTTTTTTTCTTTTTCTTTCAGTCTTTACTATGAGAACCTGTAGTGTCCGTGGAGGTAAAATTCCTGAATATGTGAATATCACATAAGACTAGTCCCTAGGAATTCTAATTCTCAAGGTAGTGTATACTCAACCTCTAGCAAATGGTCAAATTACCTTTTAAATATTCCTACCAGTTAATAGCTACAGTGGCTTCTGCTCCAAGTAAGTTTATCTTGGCTGTGATCTCTATATTCACTTTTCTCTCCAGATTTAGGGGTGGCAGTTTGTCCTGTGACTTTAATTCTTTCATGGGTCCAAGAAAAGCCATAGATTTTCAATTTGTTCAGTCTTTATTGTCTTAAAGATGCAGGCGTGATAACTTCTAAGCTTTTTATGTATTACAGCTAAACCTAAAATTCCCTCATAGCTTTTGTTTAACCAATAGCTTCTAATTGCATAGGCTTTTTATGATCTTTCACTATCAAAAGACATTGACAATTTCATTCTATTTCTCTCTTCCTTCATTCACTCATTCTCTAGATGACAATAATGTCTCCTCTCCTGCCTTCTGGAATCTTCAGCATTTTATATCCCTCCTTTTTCTCAGCCAATGACATTTGCTTCTGTTTTACTGAGAAAATTGAAGTAACCAGGAAAGATCTTTCATAAGCTTTCATCACAACTTTGAACCAACTGCCTGTTTTGGCACATATTACTTTCTTCCCATTACCATAGATACATTTTCTATCTTCTTCTCTATGGATCAGCTATCCTCTTTCATGTAAGCCCTTTTCCTTTCTTACTTAGTCAAGGACATAGCACAAGAAATTCGTCCCAATCCTACAACTTCTGTCCTAAATCATTAATTTTTACTATTTTCAGGATTATTTTCATCAATAGAAAAGCAGCTAATATACATTTTATAAAATAAAAAGACATTCCTCCAAACAAAATAAATTCCTCCTTTTTTACCTGCCGACATTCTTTGTTATCTTTGAGAAAAAGTCATTGAAAACATTTTCTTCTCAATCTTTCCAATTCCCTCTCTTCCCATTCTTTCTAAAACACACTTAAATCTTATTTTTGCCTTTAGCATTTCACTAAAACTGCTGTTGTCCCTGTGACAGTGATAGGGTGAATTATTTGCTCATGATTTGTTCTCCTTTCCTTTTTCTTGGCATGGCTCACCACCTACTGGTGTTGGTCTTGGCTAAGTGGTTTACTTTGGTCAATGGAATGTGGAAGAATGGCCTGTGTGTGAGTTTTGAGCCAAGGTAAGTTTCTACCAGCCTTCTTGAGATATGAGGGAGGCATACTGTTGGTAGCCATAGCTCCTTGAGCTCCTTCAATCCTGTCCCAGGATTATAATGTATGAAGTAGACCTAAACTAGACCTCATATGTGGCTTATGAGAATGATTTTCTGAGTTGTCTTATCTTTTATGTATCTTCATACCCACTGTCTATTTCCAGCAATTGAATCCTGTGATAATTTACTTGGTGTCTGTAGATAACAATAGACCTGCCTCTATAATATAATTATCTAATTTGCATATGCTAGCTTTTCTTAGAACTTATTTGAAATCACATTTGGGAATATGATGTGAAGATATGTAAAACTGAGTTTTACCTTTATCTTTAAAAGTTTTCTTTTTTTATATAAGAAAAAGAAGTATCCTTCTGGAATTGTACATATTTCTTCTCAGTTGGTTCAATAAAAATGCCGAATATTTGGTTCATCTGACATTTTCCTTGCGGTTTGTTAAGTGATAAATGAGCCAGAAACTATTCCTCATTAAGCTATCTAAGTGAGAACAGCAGAGACACTGAAGTTTCTCTTAAATAGGGTAGTAAATGCTGGGTGGGGCATTGGGAGACAAGTGGTCAAATTCTAATTATTCTACTGACTGGCTATGTGACTTTACAATGATTAATTTACCTTACTTCACCTTGGTTTCCTTAAACATAAAACAAATAATTTAACTTGATAAAATTTAGTTGAACTCTTAAGTTTTATCAATAGTAAAACATGCTTTTCATTAAAATAGAGATGGACAAATACCTGTAAACTGCATAGGATGGAAAGGATATTAGGAAGTTTATAGAGTGAGAAAAATTGACACTTCACATCGTGAAGAGAGGAAAGAAATGGCATCAAATGAGATAGTTACTGTAAAAAGAGTCCATTGAAACAAGAACATATGGAGGATAATGTCTGCCATATTCAAATTAGTGCCAGATTTTTGTGGTTTGTTGGATGCTTTTCTGTAGACTTTAGAAGGAAAAAGAATACAGCTGCGAAAACTCCCCTCTTCACCTTGGCTGAGGCATTCTTCAAGAGAGCAGATGGCTATAAGTTTCAAGCCATGAATCATTGTCAAGGGATCTCCTCAAGCTGCCTGTAGCAAGAAGAGTTGACAAGCCTCAAAGGGTAATATTTTTATTACTATGGGTGTCAGTCACATCAGTGCCCTTGCTGCTGGGATCAGACTTATTGTTAATAAAGCTCTATGACTTGGAAACAAAATAGCAAAAGTCAGCAAATTATTTCTACTTGCTGTCTGATGGATGTTTCAAGGCTATAGTATTCCTCTAATACTCATCAGTGAAAAAAATAAGACAGGAACCATGTCTTTCACTTTATTTATTTTTGTTTGATTTCAAAGCAGACTGTAGATGAACATTTTATATATTTTGGTGGCTTGATTAGCTATTTTTTAAAGCCATTATTGTTAATATTATCTTGCTGGTTGTGGTATGTGGTCTACATTTGCTATTCTGTTAAAATATGCAGACATGTGAGAGTTTGATTTTGATTTGGTTCATACAATATTATTGTAATGTTGTGGTTCATAATAGGTCTGTATATTATTTGAAGGAATCATGGTGAATTAGTTTGAATCTACTTAAAATATTGGCTCGGTGGACTCTTCTGTAGTCTAGAAACAGGTTATATTGAATCTCACTATGAAAACTCTAATTTACTTTTTGTTGTGTTGATTAGACAGTATTTCAGTCACTTTAGTTACTTTTAAAGTCACTTTTACTAGCTTTGGGGAATTTATGCCTAGAATACCTTGGCTAGTTCTTCTTGAATTTAATGATTAGAATATACCTCAATTATCATTTTTAACCTTTTAAACAGAAAAAATGTCTTTGGCCATTGGGTTTTAAAACCAGAAATCTGATAAAGAAAAAAGTGATCCAAAGTGGTGGTTCTTTTATAATATGGAGAAGTCAATATTTGATGAATTCCAAATGGCTGTTGTAGTAAGTGAAAATGACTATTTCAGAAAGATATCCACTTTTTACTTTTTGGAATTCAGTGGGGGAGATAGATTCAGGGTGAGTGTTTTGAAGAGCATAACTTTTTCAGATATGAAGTGGGGGTGGTCAGGTGCAAAGGGCAGGGGATCTGAGTCAGCCAGACCTGCTTTGTCTCTTCAAGTTGTGTGACCAGTTACAAATGCCTCCCAGTCACTTTCCTCCACTGTAAAATGGGGAAAATAATATGTACCTCACTACATTGCATTGTTGTAAGAAGGAAAGACAAGTTGTTAGAGACTTTGATTTTAATCTGGCATGTGGTGGGCACTCATAAATGGTGACCATTGTTAGGATTTTCTCATTGTACTGTTGGCTAATTCAGTTGTTGTCATTTTAGTGGCTAAATAATGTACCCTAAGAAAAATGATGCCCCCCAACCCGCCCCACACAGAAAAAAAAATCAGAGTTGCATGAGGTATTTAGAAAACAGGTTTCTAGTCCTGGCTCTTGAATGTTATGACTCTGAGAAGTTTCACTTATCCTTTCATACCTCAGTGTTAGGTATAAAATGAAGGTAGTGAAATAAGATTAAATTTTAGAGAACACTGATATTGATCATTATTCCTAGAATTAAAAACTTCCGTGTTCAAATAAATTTAGAAAGATCTCTGGACATATTACAGCCCTCTTGGAAATTTTCCTTGCTCATTACCATATTAAAATATAGCTTAAAAGGATTTTGGTAGAGAAATATACTGAACTTGGTATAACCCAGTTTCTCAGACACTTGACAAGAGCGTTCCTTATTCTTGGAAAACTCATCTTGCTAAACCCTTTCATGTAACTTGATTTGGAAATGCTGTATTAGATGTTTCTTATGGTCCCTATCAACTCAATTATTTTGTGACTCTGCAAATAAGTAGTTTTCCTGAAGGAACAATGTTTGGGGATGGTTTATGAAGAGTGCTATTTCAAAACTTCATTGTATATGAAAGAAATAATTTCTTATTAGACCACTAGAGGGACATTTTTAAATTATGGATAGGTATATGAGTAAAATTATAATAGTTCTTATATAGATGATATGTGTTTACAGAGGAATGTGTTCTAATTGTCTATGTTTTCCTTCAGGCTGTGAATTAAATTTACCTTGATAACATTTACCAATTTATTGTACATTCTCAAATAATATATAAATTATTGTTTCTGAAAAATATGTAGCCATAAAAGCCCACACAGTAACATAGTATATATGTACATAAAACATATGGAATGTACACGTTACTGCTAGAGGGTTTAAATTTATTCGCTGTTATGGCACCATTGCTTTTTCTCTAATTTATACCACATGTTCCTTCTTTATTTAGCTTTTAATTCTGTAGAGAGTTTGGGAATATAAATTGTGTGAAGGATGTGAAATATATGCCTCCCAATCGGGTGTTTGGCATCCTTACTTTGATATTTGCTAGAATAATTTTCATCTGCCATTTTTTAAAGTAATGATAGAAATCTTTCCTTGGGCTTATGAATCTAGTGCATGTGTGGAAGAATTCTTATGCAGTCTCTTACTGCTTCTCTTAGAACAAGAATACATCCACGAGGAAGATAGGAGTTATAACTGCCAAGACAAACACCGGTTTCCCACAGCTTGTGTGTCTCTTGGAGATACACAGCCTGGGTGTAGCTGTTATTCCTTCCTGACAGTGTAGGCTACCTGATTATTGTCAGACTTTAGGTTGTCTTTATATATGTAATAATTGCCCTTCTTCCCCACGCTTCCTGATAATCTTGGTACAATAGGGAAAAGGAATGTGACCAGTTATGGTGTAATTACTGTGGCTCCTCCATCCTCTCACTTCCTTGCGCTAATAAGTTATTCAATTATTTCAGTTATACCTCATCCAAATTTCGCAAATGTGTCCATGAATTTGATTCTTGGCTCTATCACTTACTAGCTCTGTGACTTTTGTCAAATTCCTTAACTTCTTTATGTCTCATTTCCTCTTTCATGAAAGGCACTGGTTAATGATGTCAATGTTAGGGGGAGGCAGGGTTGTGGTTGTTGAAAGTGATTCAGTAAGATATTTCATTCAAATGCTTAGTGTAAAAGCTGGCACAAGAGGGTTACTCTTGAAATATATGCTTCCTTCATTACTGTTATTGTTAGTTTAGGTTTGCATTATTTGTTGGCTTTTTACTGGTCTCTCTGACTCAAAATCTCTTCTTCTCCCCTCCTAATCCATTCTCCATAATACTTTCAAAATGATCTTTTAAAATTGCAGATCAAATGTTACAAAATGTTCCCTGTTTAAAGCCCCATAATAGTTTCCAATTCTCTGTCAGATGGAGTCCAGACTGTACAGCATGACTGACTGTGCCCTCCTGGACTTCCTGTCCAACACCATTCTCCAGCCAGACTGAAACACTTGCAGTTAGATTTTTGTACTTCCTTATCTTTGCATATGCTTTTCCTGCTGTCACAAATATGTAAGAAACTGTTCTACCTCTGCCCCTCACAGCTGCAACACTCTGTCCTTTAAGTCCCAGCTGTCGGATCGCTGAGTAGCGTTCATTATTCCTCTGTGCCACAGCCGTCTGTGTCTTATGTCCACCTCTTACTATGCTGTGTTACTCTCTCTGTCTCTCTCTGCATCTCTCTCTCTCTCTCACACACACACACACACACACAGAGAGAGAGAGAGAAAGAGAGAGAGAGAGAAACACACAAATAAGACTGTGCTCCAAAGGGGAGGGCAATGATTCTGATTCACTTCTCTGCCCTAGTACTAGAGATGATACTTGATAAATGCCTGTTGAATGACTGAATGAGTGAGAGTCATCATGAAATATAGCATGCCTTCCCTCCTGAACTCCTAAACAACATTAGTGCAATAAAACACCTTACACTTGGCACAGAGTAAATATTCAATAAATAACTTTGAATAAACTAATGTGTTTATATTCCTACATATAATGTCAAGTAAAGAAAATTAGAATCACGTAACCAAAAGTATCAGATGTTATAATATTACTGAGTTAAACACAAAAAGAGTTGAAAATAGAATGAAGTAACTTTTTTCTCTTATTTGAGTTATTCTTTTTTCCCATATTTCTCTGATTTTTTTAGATATCATAATTTAGGAGTCATAATTCATAATTACTTAAATATATGAAGTGTACTTGCCAGTCTTTGAAAAGGTTAGTGCTATCATAGGACGTGTAAATCTTCTTTTATGAAAAAGATGACAAGCAAAATTATGACTCAGTCAAGGTTTTATAAAACATTGACTTGGATGTGCTTGCTTTTGAAGTAATTTTAGTTTAATCCCTCATCAGAGATTCAATCCTTATTTATGTACAATTATCAAGCTGATAATATTTAGTGTCATTGATTAATGGTCCCATGGAAATAAGGTCAAATTTAGAATTTTCTTCTCTTTAGAATCACTGAATATTTTACATCCCACATTACTGTTTTATAGACTTTCAATGACTAGATAAATAGGTCCCTAGGTTTTACATTTATGAAGATATAAATAAATGAGCATAGATGTTCCCAGATTGCCTAGAGATAGATGAGGGATGTAAGCGGAGATAGAGCCACAGGAAATCTAGAAGCAGAGTAGCCTGCCCACCCACAATGAGTACTGGTGGTAAAAGAACAAATCAACCTTCAAATCTCAACTTTTGGCTTGGTTAGATGGGACCAAAACTTACATTTTAAAAGTGGAAAAAAAATCTGTTTTTCTGGATATTTTGCCATAATTTTCCCAAACTGTGTGTTTTTCCCAGTCTTCAGCTCTGCCGTTTACACACCCAGTCCCTAAGACTGCACTTCTCTCCCTGTGTTACTGTTTTTCATGTAATCTTTCGAGGCTTTTTAAACCTGAGAGTATCTGTAATGGGATATTCTATTACACAACACTCTGAGGAGTCGACTATAGCCTAAGGGCTCTTTTGGTTAATGTAACACTGTGTTCCTGAGGCACTAGATAGCAGGAACTGCTGATTGCAGCAAAGGTCCGCACAGGCAAAACTAGAAAATGATCAGGAGGGATTTGTGAAATCCCATCAGCATGTGGTTGACTGCCTTTTGATACCATTTACAGGAACTGGCAGAGAAAACATGGGCAATAGAATACTGGACTAACAGACAACTTAGGTGGAGAAATAATTTCAGGAGGGTATGGAGTGTTGGAAAGAGCTTGAGTTTTGGTGTCAAATACACCTGGGTTGGGTTCCCAGGCCTTGGGCAAAGTTATTAACCATGAGTTACTAACGTGAGTTTCTGTTTCCTCTCTCCTCTATAAAATTAGGGTAAAATGCTGTAATAAATACTGCTGGGACTTCACCCATATCCCTAGGATCACTGTACTCATGATGGATGCGAGAATGTGGGAGGTCAGCTTCCTTGTTCCAGTGGGAACACACCTAAGATTCCCCTGTGGGTCAGGCTGAAGCAACTCTGAGTAACTTTACCTGAGACCATGTTCATGTTTGGCTGCTTCCATAGCCATGCCTTGTTTCCTTTGCTCCCTCACTGATTTCTCAGAGCAATTCCATAGTAAATTATTTGCATGCAAATCCTCATCTCATGTTGCAGTTCTGGCGAATCTGACCTAAGCAGATGTCTATCTACTTTGACAGTGCTTGATGAGGATTAAATATAGTAGGTTTACAATGACTGTTAGAATATAAAGGGCAAAATAAACTCTGATTATTACTCCCTTATTTAGTCTGATTGATGTTTTTTTTTTTCTTTTTGCGTATGTTTTCATTCTGCCTAACTCTATGCTTATTCACCTTTTGGAGATTCAAATTCCAGCTCTCTAATTGTGTATACCTTTTAAGCCAGAAGTTTGATTTTCATTTGCAAACCATAGAGGTGAGCATATTTTTCTCTGCTGATGACTATTTGTTAGTCTAAACCCTCTTGCTAGTCAACATGTGGATGAAAATTCAGTTCTAGATATTAATTACTGCTTCAACTTAGTGGCCCTATTTCATGGTGTCGAGTGGTTAAGAATAGGTTTTGATGTCAGATAGAGCTTGATATGAACTCAGACACTTTCAGAGAGTCCTATAATATGAGGATGCCTTTAAAGGTTATAATGTTGTAATCAAGTGAGAGCTTACAACAGGGCCTGCCATGTAGTTAGTGCTTAACAAATGATAGCGTTTTGTTATTTTTGTTACTATTATTGTATTTTAGTTCCATTTCAAGATTCCAACAATAGACTCATACTTTCACATTTTGACTAGATTCCTCCAGATACACTTCTTTTCCTTAATGAAAATTCATCCTCTACCCAATGTGTTTAGTGACTTTCTGCCAAAGGAAAGTTTGGGAAGCTCACATTTTTCCAGGTCCCCGAGGTCTTGTTTAGTGAGTTATTGTTTTAAGGAACACATCAAAAAAATTTTTCACTTGTAATGGCAAATATAATAGTAATTCAGTTAAACCAGAATTCTGCAGATGGCACTTCTGGATTATGTTTTACTAAAAAAATAATTATCTGAGTTATTGTTTTTCACTTGATGTTTCGCAGATCTGGACTAATAGTTGTAAAATTATAGATCATATTGTTAATGAATATTGATAATTTTCTCTTGAAAATTTTAAGACCATAATAGATAATTCTCTTTATACAATAGTTTAATTATTGCTTAAAGGCAGGGAATTGACCCAAAATAATTTTTATAATTTCTTGTTCTGTTATTCTAAATTTATCACAGTGACCTTTCCAGTAATCCCGAGGTAGGGATATTCAAATTTTTTCTTGTATCTTTAATATTCAACTGTGACTTTTAATTACCTCTCTCTACCTCTCAATTTTAAAACATGTCATTTTTCTTTTATGAAAGATAAAGATTGAAATACACGCGATTTTCTTGAAAATATGAGCTTGTAATTCGAGCACAGTTTATATATTTCCTTGGGAAAACTATTCATATAAATGATTTTTATTCACTTCTGGGCTTCCAGATTTTTCTCTTTTCCCTTCTGCTATGAGAAAAAGTGCTCTTGGGCTAGATTCCTGGGTATCACAGGAGCACAGGTTAAAATGCTTTTAAATGCATGTTGTCTCCCTAGACCTCTGGCTGAGCATACCCACTGAGTTATCAGCAGGGACCTGCTTGGCTGAAGTTTTTCAGGGCTTCTCTAGAGCATTTTTTCCATACGTGTTTCCTCCACAGGGGACTAACAAGCACATCAGAGGCAGACAGTTGTTAGCTATGGTGAATATTTTTTTTGTCAGTTGACATTTCAATGTCTTCCTTTCTAGGACTATGCATTATGCCTGCCTTATGTTAAGGACCCCCAGAGGCAATAGATTGTTTGCCCATATGTCCGTGTGTGTGTGTATATATACACACACACACACACACACACACACACACTTATAATCCAACCTGTTCTGTTAGTCTAAATTTATCTAAATTGGTTAATTATATTACATATATATTTATATATTATATATTTTATATAATACATATTAATACATACATACATATTATACATATGTGTATAATACATATAATTATGTATATGTGTACATTATATATACCATATATTATATAGTATACATATGTATATATATAAAATATATACATGCACATATAAAAATATGTAAATATAAACAAATTTAGGTGAATATATATTACATGTAATAATATTATTATATACATATAATAATATAATTACATGTAATATATTATTAATATATTATTATATTATAAATATAAATTAATTATTTATAAATTATATATATTATTAATATATTATTATATTATATATTATATAGTATATATAAAATATATTATATATTATAAATATAATATAATGTATATGTATATAATAATATTATTACATATAATATATTACATATATAATTTGCTTGAATAACTTAATTTGCTTGAATAACTTACGTGGTCATACTACAACCTTCTAAAACTCATTAGTGCTGTGAATTTTAGGAGAAGAGAAAAAAATCAGTTAACTGAGACACTCCTTGTTACGTGTACTTCAGCTTTAATATCATAAACAGTAATTACAGTTCCTACTTGATGTGGTTGTTTTGAAAACTCAAACCTTAGATATTGGTGGCACCTTTAATGTGCAAATTTCTAGATGTTTTGGTTAGATTGGTGAACAATGTAGCTAAAGATCCATGCTTTGGTGAAACATATTTTAGAGGTGGAGGGAAAAAATAAATGATAAGATTGTTGTAGAAATACATTGCTCTGTAATAAACTCTCCTGAAACAATGTTGTGGCTTAAAATAATGACATTAAAAAAGACAGGTTCAAAAAGACAAATAATGCGAAGAATTTCGAGAAAGCTTATATATTGCTAACAGGCATATAACGTGATACAGTCACTTTGGAAAACAGTTTAGAGTTTCTTAAAATGTTGAATATCAGCTAGCGCACAACACAGACATTTCACTCCTAGTTATCTACCAAAGATGAATGAAAACACCTATCCAAAAAGAGACTTATGTATTAACACTCAAAGGAGCACCATTTGTAGCAGCCGGAGGGAAACAATTCAAATGTTCATCAACTGGTGAACAGATAAAAGAAATGTGGTGTGTCCATAAAATGCAATGCTTCTCAGCAATAAAAAGCAATGAAGTACTAATAAGTGCTACAACATGTATGAACCTCATAAGCATTAAGTGTAGTGATAGAATCTAAATACAAAAGACAGCATAGTGTACGATTTTATTTACTTGAAATGTCCACAAAATGCAAATCTGTAGACAGAAGTCAGCAGTTGCCTGAGGCTGGGGGCAGTGTTTGTGGTGGGGAATGGGAAGTGACTGCAAATAGGGATGAGAGATGTTTTTGGTGTGTTGGAAATGTTCTAAAATTGGACTGTGGTGATCATTTCACAAGTCTGTAAATTTACTAAAATTCATTTAATCACACTTAAAAAACAAATTAGAAACCCACAATATTGATTTGGTTCAGGAATCTAAAATTCAGGCAGGATTTGGCAAGGAGAATGATCTGTTCTACTTGGCATCATCTGGGACAGCTTGAAAGCTGGGGTTGGAATAATCTGGGTATCTCTCTGACTCTGCATACTCTACATATCTCTCTGTTCTGTCTTGTAAGCATGGTGATTTCAGGGTAGCTGGGTTTAGGGATCCCAAGTTGCTTG
The DNA here is from genome assembly GCF_000001405.40 of Homo sapiens. NCBI lineage: Eukaryota > Metazoa > Chordata > Mammalia > Primates > Hominidae > Homo > Homo sapiens. The sequence continues at coordinate 37,114,774 of NC_000011.10, forward strand.
TTCCAAGACAAAGAAAGAGAACGGGAAACTGTGTCACCTCTTATGATCTTCCTTCAGGAGGCTTTCCACTGCATTCTACCTATTAAAAAGTCAGGTAGTATCTACATAGACTGCAATATTAATCAGCTTTGAAAAAGAAGGAAATCCTGTCACATGTAGCAATGTGAATGAACCTTAAGGACATTGTGTGAAGTGAATTAAGCCAGTCACAGAAGGACAAATACTGAATGATTCCATTTATATATGGTATCTAAAATAATCAAACTCATACAAGCATAGAGTAGATAGTAGTTGCCAGGGACTTGGGGTAGGGAGAAAAGGAGAGTCATTCTTCAACAAGGTTACAATCTCAGGTATGAGGGATGAGTAATCCTAGAGATCTGCTGTACATCGTGACTGTAGTTAACAACACTGCATTGGACCCTTAAAACTTTGTTAAGAGGGTAGACCTCATGTTAAATGTTTTTACCACAGTTAGAAACAAACAAACAAATTAAAAAGTTGAGTTATTTTAGACACTTTTAATCCAGACATCCATTTAGATACTTGGTTTCTATAGTGAAAACAAAAGAGCCCTAAATCCTTCTTCCTTGGGGTTTACATTCTGTTTAGGGGAACAAATAATAAATTGTAAGTATATAGGAAAAAAGTACAAGTGGGTTCTGAGTCCTCTCCATCACCCAACAAGAGCTGTCAATAAAAGACAACAATTTAATTGTCCAGTGTGGGTTTGGGAAAGTAGTTGAAGCCAACTTAAAAGAAAACTTCCAGTTGTCAGCAGGTTTGAACATGGCCTTTCATGGTAACAAGCATCATTTTAATTAATTAATTAATTAATTAATTAATTTTGAGATGGAGTCTTGCTCTGTCACCGAGGCACGATCTCCGCTCACTGCAACTTCCACCTCCCGGATTCAAGTGATTCTCCTTCCTCAGACTGCCGAGATGCTGGAATTACAGGCATGCACCACCATTTGTGCCCGGCTAATTTGTGTATTTTTAGTAGACACAGGGTTTCGGCATGTTCACTGTTCTGCTTATGGTCAGAATATATATGATACTTCTTCAAGGTCAAGCTCAACTGTTGTTCTTTCTGAAGCTTCTTCTGAATTCTCTATGTTGAAATTTTCTCTGAATTCCTAAGGCACTCTCCAGGTTCTTGTTATATCCTCTTGTGTCCCTTTACTCAATTTTAAACTCAATAGTAATAGACATACTCTTGATGCTGACAGTAGTGCTTTAGACAGACTTGGCACTCAATAATATTTGAATTAAAATGAAAGAAATGCAATACTTATTTTGTTAGAAAATATTTTCAGGTCTTGTTGTAGTAACTTAGGTTTCTACAATGGTTAGCTGAACTTTAAAGCACTCTGGAAAAGGGAAGTGGAACTGAACAGCTGTATTCTTAGCTAGCTGCTTTGAATCTTTCATGTGTATGGAGAAAAGAGGCAATATGTTCAATCAAAAATTAAATTGGGGTGCTGATTAACCAAATGTTCCAAATTCTGTAATTGAGAACTAGACATTTTTATATATTTCTGCTTGTATTAGGTTGGTGCAAAAGTAATTGTGATTTTTGCCATTACTTTTGCACCAACCTAATAGAATATGAATTCTCATCTCTTGGTTTGAGTGTTCAAAGTTTGATTCTATGCATCAGTAACAATTCACTGATAATGTTATTTCAACCCACTAGTAGTTTATTCATTTTTTAAATTAACTAGTGAGTCCTTTTGTACCTGTGGACGCTCATTCTGAACTACTCATTACTGTCTATCATATCAAATAATAAAATTCATGGAACCCCAAAATAACTCAATCATTTGAAATTCCAAGCTGCCTACATGACGAAACAGAGTATGAGACACACATAGATGTCTGCCTAGCGCTGTTCTTTAGGCTTGAAAGCAAACTCACCGTATGTGGAAAGAGATGGGTGTGATCTGTGTATTTTTCCTATGGATAAGGTACAGCCCTGGTTTAAAACTTACTTAAGGAATTAGATAAGTAGATAGATGGATACATAGCTAGAAATGCACAGACTTCTCTTAGTTTACAAGGTAACTGTGTTTTCCCTCATTAAAGTAAATTAGAAGATTTTAGAGACTTTTAAAGATTTTCAACAGGGCAAATAGTAGAAATCAAATAATTCAGAAGGAGGAATACCAGCCAGGAAAATGTTGTATTAAACACAGTGCATAAAGTGAGACCTCCTCCCCACCCACAACACAACAGATGGACATAATTATAGATACATTCAAATTAATATAATCTATATTATGATGTATCTCTGGAAAAAGATTTTCACTATTGAGATAATCTGATGCTATTGTAAACTTTAGTGGTTAACTCAGGTTGCAAAATCCTTCTATATTGTCCTACATAGAATTCTACAGTACATTTCCAGCACACAATGAGTTGATGTAAAGTGTTTATTGACTTCTCATTCTGCTTTCCAGTTCAAAATTTACTTCTGCTTTTATTATGTTTCTCTGGACATTTTATAGATTGTTAATTACCAATCCCTTGAATATCAAAAACAGTATACTTATGACAGTAAATGGAAATTATCACCTATTTTGTAGAAGAAAATGTCTTTAATTGACTTCTAAAAAAACTACTAAAATTCACATACTGTGGGCCAGGCATTATGCTGAATGTTGGGGTTATAAAGAGGGAAAAAGAGGTTTGGTTGTTACTCTTAAGGAGCTCATTAATTCTATGCATACCACACTGTTCCATCAGGATGAGTCTATTTTATGGGATCTGTTAAAACAATGTAATTTTTTTTGATCCTATAACCATCTCCAGGCCAGCCCAGGAAGTCTTCAAATTTCTACTGAAATGACTGTTGGTGAACTTATTGAGTATTTTACACAGATATTCATCAATTAACCAGGAGATAAGCTTAAAGACAGTTACTCCTAGGTGAGGCTATAGCCAATTTAAATAAAAGACATGAAATCATTAGTTCCATTTTAACCTTTTTGTTCTTCTTGCGTGAACTTGCCTGGTGGCATTGTCTTGAAAGGACATTCCTTAGCACTGGAGTGATTGGTCAGGATCTGTCAGGCTCCTAGGGAGCAATCATGTACCAAGCCTGCATTCATTGGTTTTCCTTTATATTCCATGTTAAAAGTTCAACAGCTTTAAATGAATTTCTCCTTTGTCTTGTTGCTGTGGTGCTGAACAACTTGAAACTGTAATTGGGATCCATGGAAACCAAAGTTTTGTTCAATCCAGAGAAATGCCAGAAAATATGTATTCTTGTATTGAAAAGCACTGACATCTTACATTTTCAATTCAGTAGGTTATAGCTTGACTGAAGAATGAAAGGGATTAGAAATGTCTAATTACCAAAATGTAAATCATTCCTTCTTTCCAGTTCTGTATATTGCTCAGGCAAAACAAATGATCCTTCAAATATTTCTAACATTCCTGACATTGTCATTAAAATTATTTATGATTGTCACCCAGCATTGGAAGTGAGGCAAGCTTTAAATTAAGTGTCTTGATTGCTAAATGGAGTTATTTCACGATTGCATAAAATTCCGCAAGAAATGCAAGGCATAAATATGTAAATGCTGAATTATTTTACAACTACAATTAGAAGGTAAATAAAGGCACAGCAAAATGGCAGAATCATTAAGTTAAATTCACCTATGATTTTAGCACTCGTGTCATGACATTAGGGAAAGATTTTCACTCTAGGTATGATTACATATCATTGAAGAAGTTGTCCTTTTCTCCTAAATGTTATTACCATAATTTTTCTTTACATGATATTCAGCAGTCAAAATCCATAATTTTTTTCACATTCAGCCTTGAGAGATTTTTCTGGTCATTACTGCTTTAAAGGAGATAGCAAGAAGGAAATGCATTCTTCAAAGGTCTTCCTAGTTTATATTTTCTTGAATGTATTATTGAGTTGATGTATTAACACCTTGATCTGAGTAGCCAGATAACCATCTGTTATTAATTTCTTAACATGCATACCTTGTTCCAAAATATATTTGGAGTTCCTAGCAATAATGAAGTATTAAAGACCAGTTACGTAAATAGAAACTATTTAGAAAATATTTAGCGTGAGGAGAAAAATGTATTAGAAAACTTGTAACTTTCCCTAAAAGTTTGCCAGAATTGAAAGGAAAATATGATGATGAGATGAATTAAAATTTAATCTAGCAAGGGGCAGCCAGCAGACTCTAAAATGACCTCCTTTAGAGCATAGCCTGGACTAATAACTTGCTTTTAAGCAATAGACTACAATAAAGGCGATGATGAGATGTCATTTCTGTAATTTTGCTACATAAAATTGTGACTTCCATTTCTGTGGCTAGCAGGCTTTCTCTCTCTTGCTGGATTTGATAGAGTAAATTGTCATGGCGGAGAGGCTCACATGGCACGAACCTTAAAGCAGACTCCAGTCAATATCTAACAAGGAACTGAGGCCCTCAGTCCAATAACCTTTAAGGAACAGGATTCTGCCAAGCAACCATGAATACAAACTTTGAAGGATTCCCTTCAAATCCAGTTGAGCCTTCAGGCGATGCAGCAACCCTGGCCAGCCCCTGAATTGCACCTTCATGAGAAACCATGAAACAGAGGAGATCATGAATCTAAGCAGTAGCTGGATGTATGACGACAGACACTGAAAGATAAAAAATGTATGTCACTTCAATTCACTGATTTTGTGATAATTTATGTAGTACTAGATAATAAATACAAAAGTTAATTTTTTTTCTGAAACCAGCATTTCTTATAGATCTGTATACAGGGATTCCTGTACAACATGGTTTCTTTGCCAACAAATTAGTAGGAGTTAGGGAAATGTGATTTAGTGAATATTTTCTATGGAACTTATATGAAAACTAGGTTCATAAAACTATAATTTAACCCTACAAAGTCTAAGAATTTTGAGGAGAGGTAGGATAAAAAAGTCAAGATAATAAGACCAATGAAGTTTATTATCTCACAAGCTGATCTAATGCAATGATGGAATTAGAAGAACCTAGAGGAGTGAGCAGCTATTATGTTCTTTAGGTTGACTCTCTAAAATGAGATAGGTCAAATGAGCTCTTTGCAAATGCTGGGCTGTAGTAGATTCTTGGCTGGATCCTCTCAGGAGAGCTGTAGTGCAGATATTCTGTGTCGTCAGTTAAGGTGACATCCATATGCTTTATATGTGTGGTGTGCAGACAGAAAGACTAACATTTCTCATTTGAAATTTCAGAAATCTGACTCATACTCTGATCTCAACAGAGGGCCATTCAATTCTCATTTGGAGGAAGGTCTGCAAGGGTGTCTGTGGGTAGAATTTTTTTCTCTAAAAAAATTTTTGAATTTGCCCAAGTATTTGGCTGAAAACTCTGAGATCCTGGATATCTACATCATTTGTTTGGAGGAAGAAGTTTTATCCTGAATAAAATATTAAGGGTAGTCATTAACCAATTAGTTAAAGGCTCTAAATGGACCTCAGTTTATATCATTCATGACATCTACTTTTGATGAGTACTTCAGCCAGGTGTCCATGCCAGGGTATGTTAGCTGTAAAGTGCAGCCTCAAAAAACGGAATAAGATACGTTACATAGAGGTGTTTAGAGCTCAAGACTGTATTTCTGCATTTGAGGGACGACTGAGCTCTTCTTATTTTAATGTTTGATTTATATATTTTTTTTTCTTGAATGGAAGCCACATTATTAATTTAAGAAATAAATAATTTTTTTTCCAAGTCATTTCCTTTGAAGCAGTACATTGCCGTGGCCAAAAGGGCTAGCTCTGGAGTCAGGCTTTCTGTGCTTGATTCCTATTCAGTCACACCCTTGCTGTGTGAGCCTGGGTGAGTTACTTGACTTCTCTGTGCCTTTGCTTTCTCCTTTGTGAAATGTTGGTAATAATACTTGTTTCAGGGTCAATTGTGGGGATTAAATAAGTTAATGCATGCAGTGTCTTGTATCACGCACACACTAAGCCTTCCATAATTATAAAATATTAAATACTTAGCTAGTTGATGTTATTCTTTCTGATCACAAATCTATTAGAAGTTCCCTTATTAAGGCTACTCACAATTTGTTATAATAAAGCCATGTCATTAGAGGAGCACAAGATATTTTCCTTTGCAATAGGAGCAAAATCTTCTTCCACAGAGGTGAAGAGCTACACCAAGTTCAACTGTAGTTTTCCTATAGGGGCTCAAGACAATTTCTGGCTGTCAAAGTGTATGAGCAGTAGATCAGTGATACTCATCAGAACTGTCCACCAATACTCTGGTTCTCCTTCTCCTAGGCACGTGGCAGAATTGTGCCTCCTTACCCCTTTGAACCTGGGTATGACCATGAGATTTGTCCTTACACAGCTTTCCTGGGTTTCCTTTTCTTTTCCCTCCTATGTTCCAGCAGTGTTTTCAATGATGGAGCCTCCACCAGCCTGCCTCACAGAAGAAGGAAGAGGTTGAGCAAAGTTTGCCCTTTGTCCTTAAGAAAATGAGGAATCCATGAACAGATTTGGAACAATTAGTCATGGCTCTATATATAAGATGAACAAAAAATGAAGAAAGACAGGAAGATGTTTAGTACAAGATTATTCTAATATTTAAGGGAATGCTAAAAAAGGTCTGAGCAATGATGGAGAGAGTGTGATGAAATAGAAGAAAAATCTGTAAGATAAGATGGAATTAAAAATGATTTGAGGTTTAAAAATAAGAGCCATTGAGTTTGGTTGGCCAGTCTCATAGTTTTATATGGTATCAGAGACCAAGCATGCATTGACCTCACTTCTAAACTAAAAGTTTTACCACCTAAATTTCTGTAGCAAACTTATCCACGTGTTTTAGTTGGTTCCTCTGAACAACTAATTTCTGAAAAATACCAGTTAATTGCAAATACTAACTGCATTTTAGATTTTTCATGTTCCGTTAATTACTAATGTTCTTGATTTTCTTTTTTTTTTTGCTTATTCTGACAGCTAAATAGTAACACCTGCAATTATACAGTAAGTTTGTGTTTTTCTAATTTGTACATATTTCCACTTCTTATATGCACAGTGAATTTCTGGGGCAGCTGATTTATCTAAAAAGTCATCATTTTTTCAAAAGCCAGTTCTATCTTTCTTCAAAGCTAATTTATTTTAGCTAAAAATCCTGCCTTTGGGAGAATCTGGAAGATACATTGCCGGCTTAGTTTCTGTTGGTTTATATGTGTAAAGTGGCAAGCATGCCAGCTAACCCTGCAGATTCAGAGGGATTTTCTGTGTTTTATTGGACATTTGATATCATTTTAGTCTAATCTTTCCAATGACAATGTGTTCAGAAGTCACATGGAATAGTTAAGTACTTAGAAAAGATGACAGACTTTTATTTGCATCAAGCTTTTACAACTGAAACCACTTTTTAAAAAATATCATATTACAAAGGATATAAAATTACCTTAAAACACATTTTCTCTGAGATTTAAGTCTATTGAATAAACTCAGTAAATATTCTTACTGAAATTATTACTATCCACTAACACAGTGTCTCCAACTACTGTATATGTTTGCACCATCAAAGGCAAACAACAGTTAGTTGTTGATCTTCAAGACAATTACTTAAGAAGAAAACAAGGAAGAAACACAGTAAAAGAAAGGGTAGCAAATTACTTTTACAAAATAATTGTTTTGAAGGAAATGGGTAAATAGGTGACCGGTTAGCCAACACTAGTGTGATTCTTTGTTGTTTTGCAACAGACATTGACAATCTAAGTTTGTTCTAGCTAGGGAAGTCTATTTTAACGGGAAATCTTGAGTGAAAATGAGTCAAGTGATACTATCTAGGAAATATAGTTTATAAGAAGAAGCCTAGAAAAAATTTAAAATAGTCATATTAACTTGATATAACTCAGTAGAATTTTATAGAACTAGGAAAGAACTGTGTTTTCATAGGAATCCTTGAACGTTATTTTATTTTATTTATTCATTCATTTGTATATTGTCATATCCATGAAATTACTTCTTTTTAAAAGAGATTTCAGCCATTGCCAGTTCTTCATTCAAGCTTTTAAAAAATGATGATGAGGTTTAATTAAGAAACATGCACATCAGTGTGATCATTTAAAAATTCAACTTTGTAATCTTTATCTGATAAGGCCAAACTACATGGTTGTTCCTGAAGCTTGTAGTTTTTCTAACCTGTGGGGATTTTCAGAGGGAAAATGAAGGTTAATAAAATCATGGATAATAATTTTTGAGCATAATTTTCTCCTTTTCCATTCTTTTTGTTTGTTTGGTTCTTAATAAGTTCTCCTATAAATGAGTTATTATGGAAATAAATAACTATGGGTGAAGGGGCAACATTTTGTCATAGATTAAAAACGGGTTACGTTTCCAATAAGGAGTATCTTCTGTTTGAATAAAGGAAGGCTAATGGGAAGATGCCCTGGGATTGAGATAGGAAGCAGTGATGCTTGTTGTATGTATCAGTAACTTTAAAGAAGATGCTGGACTCTAATAACCTCTGCAAAGAATTGAGACCTGAACTCTTGGAAATTCAGTCCATGATTTCTTGTGCAAACATGTCAGCTCATCCCTATTTTCCTCTACTTGGAAAAAAATCTACTATTTCATATCTGTTTGCCTCAATTTTAACTGCTGCAACAGTATTGCTTATAGAGAGTTGCCATCTACTTCTCTTTGACACAGAAGGGCCTTAAACATCAGATAAAAATATCATATCTGTTATCAGGCATAGGAACCTGAAGAGTCACTTTCCTATGACCAAGTTTTGCGAAGAGCCCTGTAAACCTCTAATATTTTAAGGCTGCAGGGGGAAGATCAGCAGGGATGAGATATAAGATTCTTTCACTAATCAAAGTCTCTCTCTCTCTTTCTGTCTCTCTCTCCCCCCTACCCCCTTTATGGGCTTTTGTTGCATTGGAGAATGGGTTGATATAGCTGTAATAGACATAAGAATATTATGGAAGAGCTTCTTTTGATTATGAACATCCAAATCCAAACACACAATAATGTTGTCCAGGTGATGTCTAATTTCACTGAGCTTTTCAAATATTGCTGTGGGTAGTCAGGAAAGATCAACTAGTAATTTATGTCCATGGGGTCCTGTATATGATGCTGTTATCAAGATTAATCATTTGAGTGTTCCAGATAACCAGTCATAGCTGGCATCTTGTTGGAGCAACCTGGTGCAGGTGGGATAGTTGGGGTGTTTGTCTGTGTACGTGTGTATGCATGTTTTTGTGGGAGGTGACAGAGATGTGCAACAGCAGGTATGGAAACTTCTAGGACTGAGGTGAGAGGCAAGTGGGTGGGATGAAACCAAAGGAGTCATAGAGTTGTGTTTGTAAAGCTAAAAAGTAGGGTCCGAAGAGTTTCTTCAAGGAGAAAGAATCTGCAACTGGTGGCCTGCCACAAGCTAAGTAGGGATGCAGGGGCTGAATTGTTAGGTTGGAGGAAGTCCTGGCCAACTTCTGGGCATGCTGGGAAGGTAGCTCTGTTTAAAGGACCATGGCAGACAATCCAGAAAGGCATAGGTTCTGTATCAATACATTGAAACAGTGTGAATAGTTGAAAATAGTAATTTTCTTTCCACAGTGAGGGCTTCAACAAATACTTTCATATATTGACTTCTATGCTCTAAAATCCTGCCCCAAGAGGTCCTAGATTTCTGTGTTTTGTGATGGTCTGGTGCCTGGTAAATTTCTACCTCATTTCCTTTCCCTGTTGCTTCCTTCAGTGTCAACTCCTGAACAATCTGGACTCCTTCTGTTTCTTGATGAGCCTCAGCATGTTGCTGACTCAGGGCGTTTTCAGTGGCTGCTCTTTGCCCTGAAACACTCATTGCCCAGATATTCACATGGCTAGCTACTTCAATTCATCACAGTCTCTTGCTCAAGTATCTTCTCCGATCATCCTTTAAAAATAGCATCTGTCACTCTCTAAAGCAGGTATTTGCCTAGTGTCTATTCTAACATGAACTCTGTAAGGGGAGGCTTTGCTTGTTTTATTCCCTACTAAATCCCCAGAACTTGAATCACTGTTTGAATCACACTAGACACTCAGAAATAGGTGAAGGCACGACAATTGTTACATATTATTATTAGCTGATTCTCTTTTGGTCTGTGAGTTAAATACAAAAGGCCTTCCTCAATAAATATTCAGTGAGATATGGGAATTTTCTTAGCAACTCTAATTGAGAAAGTAATAAGGAAAAAACAGTATTTCTTCTTTTCTTTTTCTCCACCCTTCCCTCCCCCATTTCTTGCTCTCTATTCTCCATTTTAGATTAGCTGCAAAATCATTGTGATTTACTTTGCAATGAGAATTATTCACAAAGCATGTCTTCACAACCCTGCTAATTTTACTCTCTCAAACCTACTTAAATAAATTCTAGCAGTGGCACAATTTCAACAAATGCTTGAATACACTTTCTTCTTCTGCATCTTTGATATTTGCCAGTCATCTCTCCTTCAGCATTCTGCCAGTCTATGACCTTGAAATCATTGCCCTAACTTTGGCAGACGCCGGCTCATTACAGTTTCTCTGCCCCACAGGCAACCTGACTTTGTGAAGTTTTAAATGAGAAGATTCTAATGAACACAATTTAAATTACAAGGCTCCATTAATTTGGTACTGTATGTAGAAGGAAAAACAAAAGTTCTTTCTCAGTTTTGTAGAGCTGACCAATGTGGAAAATGTTTGGCCTATTTCAGAGAGTATCTACCTCCTGCCATCTGATTCCACTAGCTTAATTGAGTTTCTAGAACACTTACCGTGCTGTTTGGAAGCCCATGGGTAAAAAGCAGATGGGTAAATCACTAGGATAAGAATAGGAGAGTGGTGAAGGAGCAGCCACTATCTACCAAGTTAACTATAGCCAATATCTGCCACTGAGCACTTGAACACGTTCCCTTGTCCTTTGTAGTGTTGCTACTTAAAAAATAAATTTCTCTGTCAGCCTTCTGATCAGACCTGCAATCTGTAGGTCTGGGGAGCTGCCATAGAGGTATTTATTTTCCCAATTGTGTGTAATGACCCCAAATGGATTTGATTCCTAAGGCTTAGCACCTTATGAGAATTATCTCTACTGACCTGAAGTGAAGGCAGAACTGCTTAGTTTTGAATAATTATTGAAAATAGCTCCTTTATATTCAGGTGGCCACATAATTTACTGTTCAAGTAGAATGCTTTTGAAAATAAAAAGACCCGCTACAAGTAATATAATTTTACATATTTGAATATTTGTTGACTAAAAAATTTGTTTTAGTATATTGGTAGACATAAAAAGTCTTATTTAAAATTATTTTATAAAACAAAATCTTTATAAAAAGTAAAAATTTTATGAATGAGATGAACATTAAAAAACCAAATGAAATAATTATTCTTGGTCTGTATTCCTGTGCTTGAATCAGTTTTTTAGTCTTGTTGCTTTCTAATAATTTAACATTAGTATTTTTCTAAAGAACAGTTTTTTTTTTTTTGGACATGGGCTCACACTGTCACCCAGGCTGGAGTGCAGTGGCATGATCATGGTTCACTGTAGCCCCAACCTTCCAGGCTCAGGTGACCCTCCCATCTCAGCCTCCCGGGTAGCTGGGACTATGAGTGCATACCACTATGCCCACCTAATTTTTTTGTATTTTTTGTACAGATGGGGTTTTGCCATGCTGCCAAAGCTGGTCTTAAACTTGAGGGCTCAAGCAATTCACTTGCCTCAGCCTTTCAAATTGCTGGGATTACAGGCATGAACTTACACTACCGGCCAGGATCTTACTTTTTTACATCAAATTGACTGCAATCATTTGAAAGTTGTATTATGTTATTAACATATTTGATATGGATATCTTTAGTTGATGTCCATCAGTATTTTTAATTGAGCAAACACTTTCTCTACAGATGCTGGTATACCTAGTAAGATAAGATCAAATTCTGCTATATAAAGAATATTCTTACTATTCTTGCATTTTGAAACATGGAGATGTGTCTACATAAATATTTTTATAGACATTGTCTTTCTTTACTCCATTCCAAGTATCTTGCTTTGGAAATTATTTTTAAAGTCAAAGTTTTTCAAATAAATTATAGAATTCTCAATATTAATACCATGCTGATTCAAAATATAAATGCTTTCAATAAAAATATAATCTCTATACCATTATTTTCCTCAGAATTTAAGATATTCCAGTTTACAGAATTAAAAAAATTAAATTTTATCCTGTTTGAAATCTTGTCATTCTTATCATTTTATCATTCTTAAGATTTCCCCCCTCATTTTAAGAAAAATTTCAATATATTCCTGTTTGCAAGAAAGCTTCATTTTCAATATTTACAAATTGCTCAAAGATTCCAAATGTCTTGAGTATGTATTCCGCTTGTTAAATATTAACATAATTGTTAAGTATTGTTAAAATAATTAGATTAAAGATGTACAACTGATTTTGGACAAAAGGTAACCTAAATGTGGATAACTTTTTAATAAAATGTTTACCGTATATAGGATATTTACATTGATTTCAAAAGTACATTTTTAAAGAGTGAGTCTCAATAATTGGTGCTGAGCAGTCAAAAGTCCATGCCACCATACTAAACAGTTTTTGTATTAAATCTCAGCTCCTTCATAACATTTTGTATTTTATGTATTCTAAGCACTTATATATAATGTAGTTGTATAATTTCTGACAACTATAGCTTCGATTTCAAATTGTAGAATATCACAGCTGTCTCATAAACTGTTTTGAATTACATGCACATCACAATAGATTTCAAACACATTTCTGCTTCAACATTTTAAACAATGTGCTGGTTAGCTATAACTACCTAACGAATTACCTCCCAACACATTATGGCATATAACAACTTTGTTATGCTCCAGATTGTCTGTCAGGAATTTAGACAGAGTACAACAGGATGACCCATCTTTGCCACACAATGTCTAGGACATCAGGTAGGAAGAATTAGAAGTTTGAAGTAACTTAGCAGCTGGAGGCTGGATCATCTGGAGAAATTGTCATTCATTTACCTGGTGAATGAAGCTAATTGTTGATTAGGACCTTGGCTGAACTTTGCCTGGAGCATTTACATGTCAAGTCACTAAATGGTCTCCTTGAATGGGCTTGTTTGGGTCCCTCAGAGCATGGAAGAGAACAGGAGCAGGTGTCCCAAGGGAAGGAGACAGAAATCCAAGGCATTTTGATAATCTACCTGTCACAGGCCATTAGAACATTAGCAAATGGTTGCCCGCATTTAAGGCAGGGAGTATAGACTCCAACCACTTTACAGAGTGAGTGCCAAGGTCACATTGTAAGCAGAGCATGTGGAATGGGAGATATTATTAAAATTATTGTTCTTTACAAAAGCATAATCTATCACACTGAAATTGGCAAAAATGTTTTTGTCATGACCATACTTCATCAAAATTAGTTTATATTACAAAAATAGTTTCATCTTTACTGCTACACTTTGTATTGATATTTCTGAAAACAATGTCAGATTTTTCACCTTCATTGGGATGAATTTTGAAAAGTTTTATGTTGGTTTTATAAATTAGATTAAAAAATCAAACCATGATTGGAATTAGTGAATTTCTTTTTGAAGCACCTAAGATATTGAAATAAAATCTGTATCTTTGAACTGTTTACAAGGATCATTTTCTGTTCACAAAGTCCATTAACAGCAATTGGTTGAGTCCTTGTGCATAAGAAATCTTGGAATTGAAAATTGGCAGAATGAATTTAAACAAATAATTATTAGATCCAAATGAAAAGCCATCCATCATAAGGTGATGTGTAGCACCTTTTGCGGCTGCAAGTTTTAAGTTGTCACCTTAGGGAATATTTTTCTTAAAAATTAGTATTAACTTTTGAGGTAGATGCAGACATTTCTTCTGTATATTTGTGTCTTTCTGTTTAGATGGGATTAATGATATCACATTCTTCCTATGATGGAAAGTAAATGTTGATAAATATTTGTCCAGGCTAAGCATTTATCATCACCTTTTCTGAAATAAGAAAATTTAGTCTTTAATTTTTTATTTATAAAGCATTTTCGTTATTTTTTAGCTCATTGCTAAAAGGACTTATTACAAACTCAAAAAGCATTGTCAAACACTTAAAAAGTCTGATATATGGCATTTAATACATGGCAGAATAATTGTAGCAAGAGTGTTCAGACAGCTCTCTACAGCCTCTTTTTCCTGCCCATGGTTCATGTGCATCTAACCAATAATTTCCCATATTTCCCATTGAACCCATTGATATGTGTCCTGCAAGCCTATTGCATCTAACAGTCTACAGCAAGAGCCACAGAACCGCTATCTGGAGTACCAAATTCCTAAGAGAGAAATCAAATACTGTTCCACTAAAATCTGAGATCAGAAAGAGTAAGCTGACCCTCACCACTTGTATCTGAGCTTACTTCATATTATCAGCAAATACTCAGTGTGCTTTCCTCAAAAGGAATGATATGGTTTGGCTGTGTCCCCACCCAAATCTCATCTTGAATTCCCACATGTCATGGGAGGTAGTTGACTCATAGTGGTGAGTCTTTCCTGTGCTGTTCTTGTGAGAGTGAGTGAGTCTCACAAGATCTGATGTTTTTAAAAATGGGAGTTTCCCTGTACAAGCTCTCTTCTCTTTGCCTGCTGCCATTCATGTAAGACGTGACTTGCTCCTCCTTGCCTTCTGCCATGATTGAGATGCCTCCCCAGCCACATGGAACTGTAAGTTTATTAAACATCTTTCTTTTGTAAACTGCCCAGTCTCAGCTATGTCTTCATCAGCACCATGAAAATGGACTAATACAGTAAATGGGTACGAATAGAGTGGGGCAGTGCTGAAAAGATACCCAAAAATATGGAAGCGACTTTGGAACTGGGTAACATACAGAGGTTGGAACAGTTTGGAGGACTCAGAAGAACACAGGAAAATGTGGGAAAGTTTGGAACTCCCTAGAGACTTCTTGAGTGGTTTTGACCAAAATACTGATAGTGATATGGACAATAAAGTCCAGGCTGAAGTGGTCTCAGGTGGAAATGAGGAACTTGTTGGGAACTGGAGCAAATGTGACTCTGTTTATGTGTTAGCAAAGAGACTGGTGGCCTTTTGTCCCTGCCCTAGAGATTTGTGGAACTTTGAACTTGAGAGAGAAGATTTACGATATTGGCAGAAGAAATTTCTAAGCAGCAAAGCATTCAAGAAGTGACTTGGGTGCTGTTAAATGCATTTATTTTTATAAGTGAAGAAAAGCATAAAAGTTCATAAAATTTGCAGCCTGCCAATGCAATAGAAAAGAAAATCCCATTTTCTGGGGAGAAATTTGCTGCAGAAATTTGCATAGGTAACAAGGAGCTAAATGTTAATCCCCAAGACAATGGGGAAAATGTCTCCAGGGCATGTCAAAGGTCTCCATGGCAGCCCCTCCCAACACAGGTCTGGAGCCGGGCCCAGGGTCCCTGTGCCGTGTGCAGCCTAGGGACTTGGTGTCCTGCGTCCTAGCTGTTCCAGCCATGACTATAAGGGGCCAAGGTACAGTTCAGGATGTTGTTTCAGAAGGTGGAAGCCCTAAGCCTTGGCAGCTTCCACATGGTGTTGAGCCTGCAGGTGCACAGAAGTCAAGAATTGAGGTTTCGGAACTTCCACCTACATTTCAGAGGATCTATGGAAATACCTGGATGCCAAGGCAGGAGTCTACTGAAGGTGCAGGGCCCTCATGGAGAACCCATGCTAGGGCAGTATGGAAGGGAAACGTGGGGCCAGAGTCCCTACCCTGAGTCCCTACTGGAGCACGACCTAGTGGAGTTGTGAGAGGAGGGCCACTGTCCTCTGGACCTCAGAATGGAAGATGCACCAACAGCTTGCACCGTGTGCCTGGAAGAGCCACAGACACTCAATGCCAGCCTGTGAAAGCAGCCAGGAGTGGGGCTATACTGTGGAAAGCCACAGAGGCGGAGATGCCCAAGGCTGTGGAAACCCACCTTTTGCATCAGGACGACCTGGATATGAGACATGGAATCAAAGGAGATCATTCTGGAACTTTAAGGTTTGACTGCCCCACTGGATTTTGGACTTGAATGGGGCCTGTAGCTCCTTTGATTTGGCCAGTTTCTCTCACCTGTAATGGCTGTATTTACCCAATGCCTGTATGCCCCTTGTATTTAGAAAGTAACTAGCTTGCTTTTGAGTTTACAGGCTCATAGGCAGAACGACTTGCCATGTCTCAGATGAGACATTTGACTGTGGACTTTTGAGTTAATGCTGAAATGAGTTAAGACTTTGGGGGACTATTGGGAAGGCATGATTGGATTTCAAATGTGAGAACATTAAATTTGGGAGGGGCCAGGGGCAGAATAATGTGGTTTGTCTGTGTCCCCACTCAAATCTCATCTTGAATTCCCACGTGTCGTGAGAGGAACCTGGTGGGAAGCAGTTGAATCATGGGGATGGGTATTTCCAGTGCTCTTCTTGTGGCAGTGAATGAGTCTCACAATTCTGATGGTTTTAAAAATGGGAGTTTCCCTGCACAAGTTCTTTTCTCTACTCTTTTCCTGCTGCCATCCATGTAAAACGTGACTTGCTCCTCCTTGCCTTCTGCCATGATTGTGAGTTCTTTCCAGCCATGTGGAACTGTAAATCCATTAAACCTCTTTTTCTTCCCAGTCTTGGGTATATTTTTATCAGCAGCATGAAAATGGACTACTACAGGATGGGTTAAGTTCTGTAAACAAATAGTCTAGGGAATGCAAGATGTGTTAGTTATCTGTGGTCTCTTTTCAGATTTAACCATGTGTTAAAAATGAGAATTATGTTCGCTACACATGTGATTCATGCACTAGATGGCAGATACTGCAAGTACACAATGAAAGTCTGTTTAATCATCCTGGCTTAATTTAATGTAATTATTATTAACGAAAATTCACTAAAATTGAAAAATCTTGCACACATGCTAATCTTGATGGGTGCTGTGTCAATATGAATATATCATGAGTGAACTCTGATAAAACTTAAGGTCACTATATTTTTATCTGGGTTGGAATTTCACAGGGCATATTTTGACTTCTATTGCGCTCTAGAGATTATTGGATTCAGCAATAGTAAAATTGAATTGTTCTATAATTTATTAGCTATGTTATATCCGAAATCTTATTTGTACTTGAAATGTTTCTTTTGATTTAAAATAAGTTCATAATACCTAATTCTCAGAAACTTGTGGTAGAGTTTTAATTTATCTATTACATTATTAACATCAACAATATTAAATGTGTATAATTATAATTTACAATTATGACTTCGAAGGAGTTTGTTGTCAATATTTTACTACCAAAAATAACTGTATAACAAAGGAAATATTGAAATGAGGACTGCTATACATTTTTGGGGGGGTAGAATTGCCTTTTTTGGGCAAATTTATAATGCAAATTAAAATTGTTAGACTTATATATGGTATTTAACCCTATAATTGTCACATATTTTGGTATTTATTCCAAAGAGATAAGCGTAAATATGGCAGAAAATATAGTTACAAAGTTTTTTAGTATATTGCTGTTTAGACAGTAGGAAATCAGAACCAACGTAAGTGTCCAAATATAAAGGCTAGATTTAATAAATTATGATGTAAACATATAATGCAATTATATGAAGCTATTAAAATGATGTGATTGAAATTTTGTAACATGCACATATATTCATAACTATCAAAATAACAGCCTACAAAAGTGTATGTATTATTGATTCCCAACTTGGTTTTAAAATGTTTTAACTGAAACACATAGCACACACACACACACACACACACACACACACACACACCTCTGAATAGTAAAACTACTGTTTATCTAATTTCAGGATTTTCTGGTTGCACATAACCCAAAATAAAGTTAAATAGGTTTTAAAATAAAAGTAGTGTATTGGCTTCTAAAATAGAAAACCTAAAAGTGGAGTGCTATCTAACATAGTTGTGTCAGAGTGCCAGGTCTTGTTCTCTGAGATTCTCCCAGCTCTGCTTTCTCATAAGTATAATAATCTTCCTTTTCCTCAATGTGGTTGCTTTATGAAGCCCAGTGACACCTGTGGCTGTAGCCCACACACCTGTACACCAAACAAGGTTTGTAGGTTAGCCTTGACTGTAAAAAGGAATCTTTAACTGGCAAGTTCAAGTTCTTGGTCTTCATTTGATTTGACCAATAAGAGCTAACAACTGTGGTCAGAGGAACACCTTGAACTGAATGAGGCTGTTGAAGTGTTGCTCCCCAACCTGGGCCAATAACAATGGCAAAAGAAGCAGCAAGCTGATCTGTTTACCTTGGAAGAGGAATGAGGTTAATCCCATGCAAAATGTATGGTTGTTACAAAATGGGAAAGAGATGGAACAGATGTTAGAGGAGCACTGCTGTGAACACACTGAAATACAAAAGGGGCACATGACTAAACAAGAATCTGTCTCCCCTCCCTTACTCTTAAGCACCGTCTACTGGATCACAGCCTGAATTATACCACTAAAGAATTCTTCCAGCACTTATTGTTGGTGAAAACAAGTGCAGGACACTAGCCATGAATAAAAATCCCATACAAAGCTTTGGCCCTCTGAAAGCATCCAGAAATAAAGCCAATCAACTGTACTCAACTTATACCATTGTCAAACCCTCAAGAGAAATAAAGAACATAAAAATAAAAAGCTCCATCCAACTCATAGCAACGTCAAAAGGTAAAGGAACACCAGCACTCACAGATGAGAAAGAACCAGTGCAAGAACCCTGACAAGTCTAAAACCCCGGGTGTCTTCTTACTTCCAAGTGACCACACTAGCACCCCAGTACTGGTTCTTAACCAGATTGAAATAGCTGAAATGACAGACATCAAATTCAGAATGTGAATGAGAATGAAGCTCAACAAGATACGGGAGAAAGTTGAAACCCAGCCCAAGGAAAACAGTGAAACAATTCAAGAGTTGAAAGATGATGTAGCCATTTTAAAAGGTAACTTCTGGAATTAAAAATTCACTACTGGAATTTCATAATACAGTTGGAAGCATTAACAACAGAATAGACCAAGTTGAAGAAAGAACTCAGAGCTCAAAGACCACTCACTCAAATCAACTTAGGCAGAGAAAAAAAAATTAAAAATGAACAAAAACTCTGTGAAAATATGTGATTATGTAAAGAGTCAAAACTTAGGAGTAACTGGCATTCCTGAGAGGAGAGAGAGTAAGCAACTTGGGAAACAAATTAGAGAATACAGTCTATGAAAATTTTCTTAATCTCGCTAGAGAGTTAGACATGCAAATTCAATAAAATAATTTGAGAAATCAGAGAATTCCAGTGAGACTGTACAAGATGACCATCTCCAAGACACATAGTCATAAAATTCTCAAAGGTCAACATGAAATAAAAGATCTTAATGGCAGCTAGAGAGAAGGGACAGGTCATTTACAAAGGCAATGCCATCAGGCTAACACTGGACCTTTCAGCAGAAACCTTACAGGGCAGACAAAATTGGGGACCTATTTTGAGAATCCTAAGAGAAAAAAGATTCCAATCAAGAATTTCAGATCCCACCAAAGTAAATTTTATCAGTGAAGGAGAAATATAATCCTTTTCAGAGAAGCCAACCCTGATGGAATTTGTTACCACTAGATCTGCCTTACAAGAGGTCCTTAAGGGAGTGCTAAGCACAGAAATGAAAGAATGATACCTGACACCACAAAAACACACGTAGGTACATAGTGCACAGTCACTATAAAGCAACTACACAGTCAAGTTTACATAAAAACCAGCTAACAACACAATGACAGGACCAAATCATCACATATCAAAATGAACCTTGACTGAAAATGGGCCAGAAATCTCACTTAAAAAGCATAGAGTGGCAAGTTGAATAAAGAAACAAGACCCAACCTTCTACTCTCTTCGAGAGACCCATCTCAAATAGAACTACATGCACAGGCTCAAAGGAAAAGGATGGAGAAAGATCTATCATGCAAATGGGAAACAAAAAAGAACAGGGGTTACTATTCTTATATCAGATAAAACAGACTTTAAAGCAACAATGATTAAAAAGGACAAAGAAAGATATTACGTAATAGGAGTTCAAATCAACAAGATGATTTAATTAACCTACATATATACACACTCAAAATTGGAATACCCAGATTCATAAAACAAGTTTTTATAGACCTACAAAGAGATTTAGACAGCCAATAATAGTGGGAGACTTCAACACCCTACTGACAGCATTAGACAGATCATTGAGGCAGTAAACTAATAAAGACATTCTGGACTTAAACTCAACACTTGACCAATCAGACCTAACAGACATCTGCAGAATATGCCACCCAACAACCACAGAATGTGCATTCTTCTCATCTACACGTGGAACATGCTCTAAGAATGACCGCATGCTTGATCATAAGCCAAGTCTCAATAAATTAAAAAAAAATCATACCAACCACACTCTTAACCCCCAGTGCAATAAAAATGGAAATCAATACCAAGAAGATCTCTAAAAACAACGCAATTACGTGGAAATTGATCAGCTTGCTGCTAAATGACTTTTGAATAAATAACAAAATTAAAGAAAAAATCCAAAAACTTAACTGATGAAAACAGAGACACAACATACCAGAATCTTTGGGATATAGCTAAAGCAGTGTTAAGAGGAAAATTTATAACACTAAATTGTAGGGAGACCCCCTGAAACTATTGCTATGGAATAAAAGATGAAATGCTCTTGGTTATTGTAAATACAAAATTGCATGCAGGATTGTGTAAAGACAATGCCAGGTTGGACTGCCAGAACGAGCCAGCAGCGCATGATGTGCTTCCCCCTGCAGAGAGCCTATGAATGGACGTGCAGTCAGGGAGGTTTCACATCACCAAGATTCCTATCCCAGAAAAGCAGATATTCATAGCTCTGGGAATGGAATGCGACCCATGTGGAGAGCCTATAAACGGGCGCCTGTCCCTGTGGATAAGAAAGGGCTATAAACGCCCTCATCTTGCCACAGCTCTTCTAGGCCTCTTTAGGGTTAAGGCATAGTCCCTTCCGAGAATTTCTGGTCTAACTGGTTGTCTAGCTTCACGTCCTGTTTCCCTGGATTGTTTGTAACCAGCTTTTGTTGCAATTGTTACTGCTGATTAATATCTTGCTAATCATAGGTTATGGAAAGATTATGTTTCTGTTTTAAGGCTCTGTTAGAAATTACTGATGCACACACTATATTGTAAATTCTTATCTCTGTATACTGTACTTCTACATACAAATGTACTGTACTTCTACGTACAAATGTTACGTTAAAGAATTACTTCATCCCCATGTGACCATCTCACCTCATAATCAAATGATCCTAAATCCCTCACTAACCTACCCCCGCCCTCACTGAACTTAATAATAAATGCTGGTATATCTAGTGCATTGTTGGCACCATGGGCCCAGAAGGCAGTGACTCCCCTGGACCCAGCTTTCACTATCTTGTGTGTGTCTATGATTTCTCAACCTGCTGATCCACCTGGGAACAAAGAGAGAGCCCCGTTGCATTGCAGGCTGCTGACCAGATCCTGCAATACTAAATGCCTAGATGAAGAAGTTTAAAAGATGTCAAAGGAATGACCTAACATTGCATCTAGAGGAACTATAATAATGAGAGCAAACCAACCCTAAAGCTAGCAGAAGAAAAGAAATAACCAAAATTAGAGTAGAAATTAATGAAATTGAGTAGTAAATATTTTTAAAAAATAAACAAAACCTAAAGTTTGTTTTCTGAAAGCATAAACAAGATTGATAGAATGGTAACTAGATGAACACAGAGAAAAGAGAGAAGATCCAAATAAGCAGAATCAGAAATGACAAAGGTGACAGCCCTTAAAGGAATATAGAAAATCCTTAGAGACTATTATCAACCCTTCTATGTAAACAAACTAGAAAATTTAGAAGAAATGGAAATTCCTGGAAACACACAACCTCCCAAGATTGAACCAGGCAGAAATTTAAATCCTGAACAGACCAATAATGAGTTCTGAATTTATTCAGTAATAAAAGACCTACCAACTGAAAAGAGCCCTGGACCAGATGGGTTCACAGCTAAATTTTACCAGATGTGCATAGAAGAGCTGGTACCATTCCTACAGAATCTATTCTAAAAAATTGAGGAGGATGTACTACTCCTTAACTCATTCTATGAAACCAGTATCATTTTGATAATAAAATCTGACAGAGACACAATGAAAAAAGAAAACTTCAGTCCAATATCCCTGATGAAAATAGATACAAAAATTCTAAACACAATAGTAGCAACCTGAATCCAGCAGCCCATCAAAAAGGTAATTTGTCAGTATCAATTAGGCTTTATTCCTGGGATACAGATTGGTTCAACATATGCAATTCAATAAATATATTAACCACATAAATATAATTAAAAGCAAAAACCATATGATTATCTCAATAGAAGCAGAAAAAGGTTTGGATAAAATTTGACATCCTTTAATGTTAAAAACCTCCTACTAAATAGGCATCAAAAGATCATACCTCAAATAACCCACAGCCAATCTTATACTGAATGGGCAAAAGCTGGAAGCATTCCCCTTGAGAAATGGAACAAGACAAAACTGTTGACTCTTAACCATTTCTATTCAACATAATACTGGAAGTCCTATCTAAAGCAATAAGAGAAGAGAAAGAAATAAATGTCATCATAGGAAAATAAGTTAAGCTATCTCTCTTTGATGACAATATGATTCTATACCTAGAAAACCCTAAGACTTTGACAAAATGCTCCTAGAAGTGATAAACGACTTGTATTAGTCTGCTCTCACACTGCTATGAGGGAATACCTGAGATGGGGTCATATATAAAGAAAAGAGCTTGAGTTTTCTCACAGTTCTGTGTGGCTGGGGAGGCCTCAGGAGACTTACAATCATGGCGGAAGGCACCTCTTCACAGGACAGCAGGAGAGAGAATGAGGGCCAGCAGGGGAAATGCTGACGCTTATAAAACCATCAGATCTAGTGAAAACTCACTCACTATGATGAGAACAACATGGGGGAAGCCACCCCATGATTCACTTACCTCCCACTGGGTCCCTCCCAGGACACGTGAGGATTATGGGGATCATAATTCAAGTTGAGATTATTTCGGGACACAGACAAACCATATCATGACTTTAGTAAAGTTTCAGGATGCAAAATTAATGTACACAAATCAGTAGCATTTCTATACACCAATAACAGTCTTACTGAGAGCAAAACCAAGAATACAATTTCTTTTACAATAGCCACAAAAATGATAAAATACCTGGGAACATAGCTAACCAACGAGGTGAAATAGCTCTACAACAAGAATTACAAAACACTGCTCAAAGAAATCAGAGATGACACAAACAAGTAGAAAAAACATTCCATGCTGACAGAAAGAATCAGTACTATTAAAATGGCCAAGGCAATCTACAGATCCAATACTATTGCTATCAAATTACCAATATAATTTTTTTGCAGAATTAGAAAAAAACTATTCTGAAACTCATATGGAACCTAAAAAGAGCCTAAACAGCCAAAGCATTCGTAAGCACAAGGAGCAAAACTGGAAGCATCACATTATCTGATTTCAAACTATACTATAAGACTACTATAACTAAAACAACATGGTACTGGTAAAAAATTCAGACCAATGGAACAGAATAGAGAATCCAGAAATAAAGCCACAGCCTTACAACCATCCAATCTTTGACAAAGTTGACAAAAGTAAGCAATGGGGAAAAGGTTTCCTATTCATTAAATGGTGCTGGGATAGCTGGCTTGCCACATGCAGAATAAAACTAGACCTCTCTCTTTCACTATATATAAAAATTAACTCAAGACATGTAAGACTCAACTGTTAGACCTCAATGTATAAAAATCCTAGAATTAAACCTTGGAAATACCCTTCTTGACCTTGACCTTGGTAAAGAATTTGTGTAGGTCCTCAAAAACAATTGCAACAAAAACAAAAATTGACAAGTGAATCCTAATAAAACTCTTCAGTTTCTGCACAGCAAGAGAAGCTATCAGGAGAGTAAACAGACAACCTACAGAATGGGAGGAGATATTCACAAACTATGTCTCTGACAAAGGCTTAATATCCAGAATTTGTAAGGAACATGAACAATTCAAAAAGCAAAAGCCAAATAACCCCATTAAAGTGTGGACAAAGAACGTTTACCAACATTTCTCAAAAGAAGACATACAAGCAGCCAACAAACATATGAAACAATGATCATCCTCACTAATCACCAGAGAAATGCAAATCCAAACCACAGTGAGATATCATGTCACATCAGTTAGAATTGCCTTTGTTAAAAAGTCTAAAAACAGATGCTGGTGAGGTTGCAGAGAAAGGGTAACACTTATACACTGCCAGTGGGAATGTAAATTAGTCCAGACACTGTAGAGAGCAGTTTGGAGATTTCTCAAAGGAATGAGTTTAACTACCATTTGATCCAGCAATTCATTGCTGTGTATATACCCAATTGAAAATAAGTCATTCTATCCAAAAGACATGCACTTGTGTGTTCATTGCAGCACCATTTACAATAGCAAGACATGGAATAAACCCAACTCTGTACTGGATAACAAAAATGTGGTGCATATACACCATGGAATACTCTACAGCCATAATAAAGAAAAAAAAATTATGTTATTTGCAGCAAATTGGATGCAGCTGGACGCTATTACTCTAAGCATGAATTAATACAGAAACAGGAAACCAGTTACCACATGTCCACAGTTATAAGTGGAAACTAAACATTGATTATACATGGACATCAATATGAGAAAAATAGATACTGGGGACTACTAGAGGGAGAAGGGCCAGAAAGGTGCAAGGGCTGAAAAACTACCTATTGGGTATTATGCTTACTACCCTGGAGACAGATTCATTCATACTCCAAATTTCAGTGTCTTGCAATATGTCATTTGTCTTTGCTACAGTTCTACATATGTACCCTCTGAATCTATAATCGAAGTTGAAAAAATAAAAAGTATAAAAAAATTAAATCTACATGGGATATAATAAATAGAATAAGCACTGCGTAATATTGCATTATTGATGTACAGTACAAACTGGAAACAGTACCTTGGAGGACAAGGACAAAAAGCGATATAAATTCTACCATTGAAGATTGACCTGGAAGAGAGATTAATTTACTTAATGTACATAATTAATTGTAAGAATGTTTTAACAGTAATAAATATAAACTTTCTAGAAAAAAGGTAACAAGACACAACTTCCAGGTTATGTCTTTGGGATAAGAAATGATCTGACAGAACCTTCTGTACTTTCTTTACCTATGACCATAAATAACTTCAGGCTTCAAATGAGGATCATGAAATATTTTGTTCAAAGTAATGTAATTTAATTTTTTTTTCGAATTTTTTATTGAGGCAAAAAAAACGAGTGCTAATTTTTTAAAGAAAGATATGATCTCATTAGTAAGTATTGAAACCAAAAGCGTGTTTTTAATTAAAGCAACCCCAAATCAAGTATATGGGAAAACTCATTCCAAAGGCTTCAGATTGAGGCATAATTTTATTTTGGTCTTTGAGTGTTTTGTCACCATAGTTTGTAGTGTGGCCTCCTCCACATCTGGTGTGTTCTTCAAGTCAGTGATGAGTTCAGTGGGGCAAAGAGAAGGGGACCTCATGGAACAGGGCAGAAAATGGGATTCTAGGCCCAATTATTCGACTCACCTAGTGTATATTTTATGCAAGTCACTTAAGAATGGTGGCCCACTATTTCCATGTTGTTTAAAATTGAAATGTTTGAGCTAAGTGATCCCTGAATTTCCTTCCAGTTCTAAATTGGGAAATTTTATATAGACTTATTCTGGACAAATGACAGAATCATATTTATCTTTGCATTGTGACCCTGCCCAGAAGTCAGAGTAGAAGTAAAGCAGCTTTATTTTTATAACACGATATTTTATTCACAGAGCCTCATTCATTTTTCACTGCTGGATCTCTGGGCCTATTTGGAAAGATATGTTAGAAAAAATGAAACAAAGCACTCTACTTTTTCCATTTGATGTTCATATAGCTGTTACACCTTTCACCTTTGTGATCTTACCTTGTAATACTGAGTTTTTTTCTCTCTGTTTTTCTTCTTTTGACATCAGCTAGACAGTATTGAACTAATCATACTCCTGAGTTCAGGGCACATTATTATAACTTGCCCTTGCAAAACCCCTTTATTGTTTCTTTTTTCTAATTATTCATATTTAACACCTAGATCAATTCCATTCCCTTTCCCCTCAAATATTCTTACATGTTCCATATGCATTTTATTGTATGGTCCCTTGTAAAATATATTATTATCTTATTGCATATAACTAACAGAAAATTGTTTTGTAGATCTCATTCTATTTCTTATTTTTTTAAAATTCAGCATTATGGTTTTTGTTTATTTGTTTGTTTTTTAAGACAGAGTCTTGGTCTGTCGTCCAGGCTGGAGTGCAGTGGTGTGATCTCGGCTCACTGCAACCTCTGCCTCCCAGGTTCAAGAAATTCTCCTGCCTCAGCCTCCTGAGTAGCTGGGACTGCAGGCGCCCACCACCATGCCTGGCTAATTTTTTGTATTTTTAGTAGGGATGGGGTTTCACCGTGTTCGCCAGGATGGTCTTGATCTCCTGACCTGTGATCCTCCCACCTCGGCCTCCCAGAGTGCTGGGATTACAAGCATAAGCCACAGTGCCCAGCCTGTATTTTTAATATTTGCTTATTTTCCCTGCGTACTTGAATCTATTGTACTTTGTGATTGCATAGTGCGTCCACCATACTTTACCTACCACTCTCTTAGAGGAAACCCAGACTGCTTCCTACTCTTTGATGCCATGTGTGATGTTGCAATGATCATACTTATTCCCTTAAGAACATGTGAGAATTTTAGTGGGGGTATAACATTTGAGTCAGTGGACTGGGAGAGGAAGACCCACCCTCAATCTGAGTGAGCACCACCTAATCAGCTGCCAGCGTGGCTACGATAAAAGCAGGCAGGGGAACATGGAAAGACTATACTGGCTTATTCTTCTGGCCTACCTCTTTCTCCCATGCTAGATGCTTCCCGTCATCAAACATCAGATTCCAGGTTCTTCAGCTTTTGGACTCTTGGAACTGCGATCACAGACTGAAGGTGGCACTGTTGGCTTCCCCCTTTTGAGGTTTTGGAGCTCAGACTTGCTCCTCAGCTTGCAGATGGCCTATTTTAGAACTTCACTTTGTGATCGTGTGAGTCAATACTCCTTAATATACTCCCCTTTATAGACACATCTATTCTATTAGTTCTGTCCCTCTAGAAGACCCTGGTTAATACACTTGTCTAGCATTTTTACAATCTCTGTCATTTCTGGATCTGTATCTATTGACTTTTTTCTCCTGCCGTGGGTCATAATATCCTGCTTTGTTGCATGCGTGAAAATTTTTCCACTGGATGCAGGATACTGTGTATAATTTTACATTGTAGAATGTTGGATTGTGTTTTTTTTTCAGTAGTATTTGATTATTTCCTGGTACACAGTAAAGTTATTTGGGTTCAAATTGCTCTTTTTGAGACTTGCTTTTAGGTTCTTTTAAGGTGGGTTCAGACTGTTTTTTTAGTCTAGATCTCATTGAGCTCCAAACGTAAGGTATTTCTTTCTGAGAACTTTACCGGATGCCCCATATGATAGGAAGCATTTCTACCTGGTCAGGGAAAGGCAAATTATTTCTAGCCTTGTGTGAACCCTGGAAATTATTCTGCCTTCTCCTTTCCAGTAGTTCTTTTCCTATCCTCAGCTAGTTTCCTTTCACTTATACACAGATAAATACTAAGGTAAGGACTTTGGGAGACTCTTCTATGTATCTACAGAGTTCTCTGGGCAATTCTCTTCTTTTCAATACTCTGTCCCACAAATTCTAGTCACTTTCTCCCCCATGAACACTTACTTTTTTCTCTTTCACACAATGAGACTTCTGAGTTCTATTTGGGCTCCCTCTCCCTACTCTACAGCCTGGAATCTTCCCTCAGGCCATACAGTAATCTGGAACATCTACAAAGCTCATTTTATTTTCCTTCCCTCTGGTATCATAGTCCCATATGTCCATTGTCCAAGGTTTGAGAACAGTTGATTAATATTTGTCTGGTTTTCTAGTTGTGTAGGCCAGTAGAGTAAATTCATTTCTTGTAACTACACCATGGCATAAATTGAATTCCTAGTCTTCCTTTTATAAAGAAAATATCTGTTACTCTTTTGATGGGTTGCCTCTTTTCTGTTTTCTTTTTCAGGACTGTTTTTGTAATGTATTTTAAGGTTATGCCAAATGTTTACAGACATGTTTTCCTCAGAATCATCGTTTTTAATATGCTCACCATGACAAGAACCTTGGCATCTTATTGACGAAGTAGATTTGGTTCACTCTTTGCAATGTGCTAATCTTGGAAACCCAGAAGTGAAGTTCAATATTGCTAAATTTTTTTTTTCATTGTGTCAGAGAAGTGTAGCATGATTTTATATCTAAAAGGAAAGAAAAATTCTGATGATATCATCCAGATAATGAAATGATCACAAAGCAAAGCTTCAGGAAATATAAGCTATTTTATAAGTTTTTTCAGTAAATCTTACAGGTTAGAAAAAGTCACAAGACAGAAAGCATTCTGCCTGTGTCCAATCTTTACAAGTATGACAAGTATTTGAACTGAATCAGATTTGGGCACTGTCAACTATAAACATAGCATTTTCTTTAGCTTCTTGTAGAAAAAAATATCCAGTACCTCTTTGTATAGTATCAATTTTCAAATGAACAAAAATACCGCACAATCTTAACTATTCCATTCACAAATTTATAGAGGAGAAAATATTTGGTGTGTTAAATTTTTCATGCTGCACTGAACAAAGAAGCAGTTAGTTAATATCTGTAGTGAGTTATTTTATATTCAGAACAAGTGACTAAGACATTTAAGGTAGATAGAAATATTTTACTAAGGTTAATTGCCATCTGAAAAATTTATAATCTATGAAATTCAGTCCAAAACTAGGTTGCTGTGTATTTTTTGGCTGCTTTGAGTTTAAAAAACATACAACATTGGGTTATTTACTTTTTTTTTCCTTCCCCTTGGTTTTTTGGGCGTTTAGGCTAGCTTCCAGGGTCCTAGGATAATTCACATTAATTATTTTTAGACAGGATAATTATAATATCTAAAAAACATATTAATTTAAGAGATAGTTTAACTTAGACATATAAATTTATCTAATTGTTTTGCCAAATATCTGCATATTTATTCATATAAATTACCCTGTGTTTTTCTAATATTTGTAGTCATTTTAAAAGTAGTGAGAGGAGAGAAGTACCATTGGTGACCTCAAGAGACATGAAAGATTGAATTCTGTCCTGGTCTGAAAAATAAGAAAGCAAAACTTCTGATTAAATAATTTGGACAATTTAAGAGAGTTACCTTTACTCAATATTTTCTTGATATCTAGGTTTACTTCTTTTACTATAAGATTTAATAATCAGTAGTTTAACAAATATTTTAGGGCAGTAGTTGCATTGAGAATTAGGGTCATAGAAATCTAGCTTGAATTATTAATCTTTCAGTGATTAGGCATAAAGTTCTTAAGTTTAGCCTTAAGTTATTCAGAGCCCAAGGAAATAGGCCTTTGGAAGTCAACAATCTTTAAAGTATTCTCCTGCAAAACAAAACAAAATTAAAAAGTTAGCCTTAGAGATAATAAATTTCTACTGAGTCAGTGGAGGGGCATGGGGAGCAGTCAAAAGAGTTTGCCCTATATATTTCAGTAAGTAGATTTTTGTAGGTCATTAGAGGTTAACAAATATTTAGCAAGCATCTCTTATGAGAACAGTAGTGAACAACATAGACCTTTGTCATCATGAAGTTATATTCTAGGAGAGAAAGATAGACAATAAAAATAAATAAATAAAGAGAAAAGACTGGGCATGGTAGCTCACGCCTGTAATTCCAGGTGTTTGGGAGGCTGTATTTGTCTGTTTTCATGCGGCTGATAAAGATGTATCTGAGACTGGGTAATTTACAAAATAAGGAGGTTCAATTGGACTTACAGTTCTATGTGGCTGGGGAGGCCTCACAATCATGGCAAAAGGCAAGGAAGAGCAAGTCACATCTTATGTGGATAGCGGCAGGCAAAGAGAGAGCTTGTGCAGGGTGACCCAAAACCATCAGATCTGATGAGACTTATTCATTATCACAGTAACAGCACGGTAAAGATCTGTACCCATGATTCAATTATCTCCCACCACAGTCCCTCCCACAACACCTGGGAATTCAAGATGAGATTTGGGTGGGGACACAACCAAACCATATCATTCTGCCCCTGACCCCTCCCAAATATCATGTCCTCACATTTCAAAACCAATCATGCCTTCCCAATGGTGCCCCAAATTCTTAACTCATTTCAGCATTAATCAAAAGTCACAGTCCAAAGTCTCATCCAAAACAAGGCAAGTCATTTCTGCCTATGAGTCTGTAAAATCAAAAGTAAGTTAGTTATTTCCTAGATACAATGGAGGTACAGGCATTGGATAGATACAGCCATTCCAAGTGGGAGACATTGGCTAAAACAAAGGAGCTACAGGCCCCATGCAAGGCCAAAATCGGGCAGGATAGTCAAATCTTAAATCCCCGAAATGATCTCCTTTGACTCTATATCTCACATCTAGGTCACACTGATGCAAGAGGTAGGTTCCCATGGTCCTGGGCAACTCTGCCCCTGTGGCTTTGCAGGGTACAGCCTCCCTTCCAACTGCTTTCACAGGCTGGTGTTGAGTGTCTGTGGCTTTTCCAGGTACACAGTGCAAGCTGTCAGTACATCTTCCATTCTGTGGCCTGGAGGACGGTGGCCCTCTTTTCACAGCTCCACTAGGTGGTGCCCCAGTAGGGACTCTGTGTGGGAGCTCAGACCCCACATTACCCTTCTGCACTGCCCTAGCAGAGGTTCTTCATGAGAGCCCCACCAAACTTCTGCCTGGGCATCCAGGCATTTCCCTACATCTTCTGAAATCTAGATGGAGGTTCCCAAACCTCAATTCTTGACTTCTGTGCACCTGCAGGCTCAACACCACATGGAAGCTGCCAAGGGTTGAGACTTCCACCCTCTGAAACAATAGGCTGAGCTGTTCCTTGGCCCCTTTTAGTCACAGCTAGAGTGGCTGGGATGCAGGGCACCAACTCCCCAGGCAGCACATAGCACAGAGACCCTGGTCCTGGCCCAAGAAACCCTTTTCTCCTAGACCTCCTGGCTTGTTATGGGAGGGGCTGCCATGATGACCTGTGACAAGCCCTGGAGACATTTTCCCCATTGTCTTGGTGATTAACATTCCGCTTCTTGTTACTTATGCAAATTTCTGTAACCAGCTTGAATTTCTCCTCAGAAAATGAGTTTTTCTTTTCTATCACATTGTCAGGCTACAAATTTTTCAATCTTTTATGCTCTGCTTCCCTTATAAAACTGAATGCCTTTAATAGCACCCAAGTCACATCTTGAATGCTTTGCTGCTTAGAAATTTCTTCTGCCAGATATTCTAAATCATCTCTCACAAGTTCAGAGTTCCACAAATCTCCAGGGCAGGGGCAAAAGGCTGCCAGTCTCTTTGCTAAGACATAACAAGAGTCACCTTTGCTCCAGTTCCCATCTCCACCTAAGACTACCTCAGCCTGGACCTTATTGTTCATATCACTGTCAGCATTTTGGGCAAAGCCATTCAACAAGTCTCTAGGAAGTTCCAAACTTTCCCACACTTTTCTGTCTTCTTCTGAGCCCTCCAAACTGTTCCAACCTCTGTCTCTTACCCAGTTCCAAAGTTGCTTCCACATTTTTGGGTGTTTTTTCAACAAGGCCCCACTCTACTGGTACCAATTTACCACATTATTTTGTTTTCATGCTGCTGATAAAGATATACTTGAGACTGAGCAATTTACAAAATAAAGAGCTTTAATTGGACCTACAGTTTCGTATGGCTGGGGAAGCCTCACAATCATGGTGGAAAACAAGGAGGAGCAAGTCACATCTTATGTGGATGGTGGCAGGCAAAGAGAGAGCTTGTGCAGTGAGACCCATTTTTAAAACCATCAGATCTTGTGAGACTTACTCACTATCATGAGACTAGCACAGGGAAGATCTGCATCCATGATTGAATTACCTCCCATTGGGTCCCTCCCACAGCATGTGGGAATTTAAGATGAGATTTGGGTGGGGACACAGCCAAACAATATTGGAGGATGAGGTGGAGGATTGCTTGAGCTCAGGAGTTTGAGGCCAGCCTGAGCAACATAGTGAGAACTTGTCTCTACTAAAAATATAATAAAATAAAATAAACTAGTCATGGTGTTACATACTTGTGGTCCCAGCTCCTCAGGAAGCTGAAGAAGGAGGATTGCTTGAGCCCAGAAGTTTGAGGTTGCAGTGAGCTGTGATAGCACCACTGCACTCCAGCCTGGGTGACAGAGCAAAATCCTGTTTCAAATAAAAAAAAAAAAAAGAGAGAGAGAGGAATTTCAATTATTTTTTACTGCTAAGATGAAAATACAAAAATGCCATATGGTAGAGTAACTGGGGTGGGGTTGTTCTGCTTAGGGTAGCTAAGGTCTCAGGTTAACCTCCTGATACTATTCCATTTGAGTTAGCACCCAAATGAAGAGAAGGCGGCCATGCAGAATAAACAGATTTTATACCATTTGGAATATTTCAAATGGAAGGAACAGCACGTTTATAAAGACTTGGATGGAACAACAAAAGGGAGAGTAGAGATGAAGTGGACATGAAGTCAAGGTTCAAGTTAAGTGAAACCATTTAAGTTGTTGTAGTAAGTAAAGAGTTTAATTTTTAATGTAATTACACTGGGGGTACCACTAGTGATGTTGAGGCAGGAAAATGACATAGTCTATTGTACTTTTTTTTTTTCTTAATTGTGGTAAAATATATATAACATGAAATTTACCATTTTAAGCATTTTTGAGTGGACAATTCAGAAGCATTCACAATGTTGCATGGCTATCACTACCATCTATCTCCAGAATTTTTTCATCCCCAAACTGAAACTCTGTAGCCATTAAATATTAATTCCCCATTTTCCCCTCTCCTTAGTCTCTGGCAATTACGATTCAGCTTTCTGGCTCTATGAATTTGCCTATTCTAGGTACTTCATGTAAGTGGAATTATGCAATATTTGTCCTTTCGTGTCTGACTTCTTTCACTTAGCATAGTATCCTCAAGGTGCATCTATGTTGTAGCATGCGTGAGAATTCTTTCTTGAGGCTGAATAATATTCCATTGCATGTATATACAACATTCTATTTATCAATTTTTTTTTTGATAGAGTCTCGCTCTGTTGCCCAGGCTGGAATGCCAGTGGTGCAATCTTGGCTCACTGAAACCTCCGCTTCCTGGGTTCAAGTGATTCTCCTGCCTCTGCTTCCCGAGCAGCTGGGAATCAATATCATGAAAATGGCCATACTGCCCAAGGTAATTTATAGATTCAATGCCATCCCCATCAAGTTACCAATGACTTTCTTCACAGAATTGGAAAAAACTACTTTAAAGTTCATATGGAACCAAAAAAGAGCCTGCATTGCCAAGTCAATCTTAGCCAAAAGAACAAAGCTGGAGGCATCTCACTACCTGACTTCAAACTATACTACAAGGCTGCAGTAACCAAAACAGCGTGGTACTGGTACCAAAACAGAGATATAGACCAATGGAACAGAACAGAGCCCTCAGAAATAATGCCATATATCTACAACTATCTGATCTTTGACAAACCTGACAAAAACAAGCAATGGGGAAAGGATTCCCTATTTAATAAATGGTTCTGGGAAAACTGACTAGCCATATGTAGAAAGCTGAAACTGGATGCCTTCCTTACACCTTATACAAAAATTAATTCAAGATGGATTAAAGACTTACATGTTAGACCTAAAACCATAAAAACCCTAGAAGAAAACCTAGGCAATACCATTCAGGACATAGGCATGGGCTAGGACTTCATGTCTAAAACACCAAAAGCAATGGCAACAAAAGCCAAAATTGACAAATGGGATCCAATTGAACTAAAGAGTTTCTGCACAGCAAAAGAAACTACCATCAGACTGAACAGGCAACCTACAGAATGGGAGAAAATTTTTGCAATCTACTCATCTGACAAAGGGCTAATATCCAGAATCTACAATGAACTCAAACAAATTTACAGAAAAAAACAAACAACCCCATCAACAAGTGGGTGAAAGATATGAACACACACTTCTCAAAAGAAGACATTTATGCAGCCAAAAGACAGATGAAAAAATGCTCATCATCACTGGCCATCAGAGAAATGCAAATCAAAACCACAATGAGATACCATCTCACCCCAGTTAGAATGGCGATCATTAAAAAGTCAGGAAATGACAGGTGCTGGAGAGGATGTGGAGAGATAGGAACACTTTTACACTGTTGGTGGGACTGTAAATTAGTTCAACCATTGTGGAAGTCAGTGTGGCGATTCCTCAGGGATCTAGAAGTAGGAATACCATTTGACCCAGCAATCCCATTACTGGGTATATACCCAAACGATTATAAATCATGCTCCTATAAAGACACATGCACACGTATGTTTATTGTGGCACTATTCACAATAGCAAAGACTTGGAACTAAGCCAAATGTCCAACAATGATAGACTGGATTAAGAAAATGTGGCTCATATACACAATGGAATACTATGCAGCCATAAAAAATGATGAGTTCATGTCCTTTGTAGGGACATGGGTGAAGCTGGAAACCATCATTCTCAGCAAACTATCACAAGGACAAAAAAACTAAACACCGCATATTCTCACTCATAGGTGGGAATTGAGCAATGAGAACACATGGACACAGGAAGGGGAACATCACACACTGGGGCCTGTTGTGGGATGGGGGGATGGGGGAGGGATAGCATTAGGAGATATACCTAATGTAAAATGATGAGTTACTGGGTGCAGCACACCAACATGGCACATGTATACATATGTACCAAACCTGCACGTTGTGCCCATGTATCCTAAAACTTAAAGTATAATAAAAAAAAGAAGAAAAAAAAAGAAAGCAGGGATTCTAACAGCTATTTGTACACCAGTAATCACAGCAGCATTATTCACAATAGCCAAAAGACAGAAAGAAGACCAAATGTCCATTGACAGATAAATTGATAAATAGGGCTGGGCATGGTGTCTCACACCTGTAATCCCAATACTTTGGGAGGCAGAGGTGGGTAGATCACTTGAGTTCAGGAGTTCGAGACCAGCCTGTCCAACATGGTGAAACCCCTTCTCTACTAAAAATACGAAAATTACCCGGGCATGGTGACATAGTCTATTGTACTTTCTTAAAAGCTTATTCTGACTGCTCTGTAGAGGATAGGCTATAGGAGCCAGGAGAACAGCAGGAGGCTACTGCAGATAAGAGGCAATGTTGGTTGGACTGAACACTGTGGTCACATTTGACATGTATTTTGGAATTAGAAACTAAACAAGAAAATTATTAGATGACTATAAGGAATTGGGGAAACAACTAGTTTTTACCTGAACATTGGATGGATACTAGTAGTACCATTAATCTTGATTTTAAAGAGTTTGGAAAGTATTTTATTTTAGTACAAACAATTCAGTAGATTAGGGCATGAAGAATTTGAATGGATAATGGAAATGTAGGTTAGGCAGTTGCTTAAAAATCTGGAGTTTAGAAGAAAGCTCTCAATGGCAAATTAAATTTGACAGCCATCAGCATATTTGTGATATTGAAGGTGATGGGATTGATGACATCTAGTTTGAGAGTACAAAGACAAAGGAGAAAATTCCATGGACAGACTCCTATGGCAGCCAAACTTTGCAGGACTGGTGGCGAAAATGCAATCAGCAAAGCAGACTGGAAAGATGTGGGCAAACATGTAGGAAGAATATGTCTCAGATATTTTTACTTCCATTAGTCCTTTGTTGGTTTTAATGTCTATTCACAATTGCAAATATTGCTGATATAGTTTTTCATCAAAAATAATTTTTCCCAGTCTGTTTTTATACTTGAGGTATACATTTAAGGATATTGATCCTTTTGTCGTGAGGCTTAGGTTAATATGGAATGGAAGCGCTGGTTTCAACTTCTAATCCACCTTATTTCCAATGTTGCAAATGCAGCAAGAAATTTATGAAAATCTCTTCTCTTCGTGGAAATTGTTTGCAAAGAGGCCCTGATCTTCATCTCTGTGTATCCATGCCCTTAACATCTGACTTACATCACCTGTCATTAAGATGTAGAATCTATTATCCTCCATTTGAATACCAGCTAGTCTTATGCCTTGCTCTATTCAACAAGTTGCAATAAAAATGATATTGTGCTAGTTATGTGCCTAAGCCATAAGAAGTCTTGGATGCTTTCACTATCTCCCTGGGAATTCAGCCCAGTCTCTATGTTATTAGAGTCAGTCTAGTCTGCTGAAGGATAAATGACCACGTGGGACGAAGATGAGCCAGTCTAGCTGAGCCATCTTGGATCAATCAGCCTCCAGCTGACCCAGTACCTGATCACAGATACATAAGTAACTACACCTAGAATGAGAAAAACCACCCATTTGAGCTCCATCCAAGTTACTGACACACAAAAGTATGAGCTAAATAAATAGTTGTTTCTAACTATTATTTTTGGGTTGGTTTGTAACACAGTGATAGCTAGCTGATATATTTTGCTTTTATTCTTATAGAACCTGATAAAGAAAGAAGAGTGAAATTATACTGGCTTCAGCTAAACCTTTGGGAATGTGATGACTTGCCAAAACTTTTGGGACCTGACTAAATTGTATTCTAATATTTACATAAAATTGCCCATAGGTCAGTGTGGTATTCCATCAAGGGTCTTGGACAGGAATAAAGAAACTTGATTTCTAGCTCTGTCTTGGATATTATATTCACTCGGTCACTTTGAAAATATAACGTCACCTCATTGATTCTGTTTTTCCACATATTTAAGATAAAGGGTTAAGATGAGATTCTGAAAATTCCCGTTGAATTTTATTATGGAATTCTTAGTATGACAGAGACTGCTCAAGAATTTGCTAGATTCCATGTAATGGATGAATAGATTTTGTTCTACTGATAGCATTAGTGATCTTATCATAACCCTGACATGAACATATTTTTTGCTTCCACATTTTTGGATCAGAGATCACATTGAGTGATCACATTAACCAATCACTCAATTTATCCATGCCTATATCATTGACTACTTCCACAGAAAACCATCTGACTACATGACAAGTTACATAGACAATATATGGTGTAAAAAGAAGTCTCTATACTAAAAAATACTGAACAAGACTGGTAGCATTTGTTTTAAAGTTTGCTAAAAGCTCAATTGACAAAACAAAATCCATCATCTCTGATCATCTATCAGAGACATCCTTTATG
The DNA here is from genome assembly GCF_000001405.40 of Homo sapiens. Taxonomy (NCBI): domain Eukaryota; kingdom Metazoa; phylum Chordata; class Mammalia; order Primates; family Hominidae; genus Homo; species Homo sapiens. The sequence goes on from NC_000011.10 coordinate 37,152,200, forward strand.
TCCACAATTTTATTACCCCAAATTCTCTATTTTATTAAAGTTTATCCCTTGAGAATAGGAGCACACAAATTTGGACCAACCTTAGACTGTTTAGTATGTTCTAGTCCAGAGCTTCCACAGGAGCTTCTCCTGATTTGATGATTCGGATATGCTGAGACTATTCATCCCCTCTGTCTTTAGGGCAAGCAGATGGGCCTGAGCAGCTGGACCCCCCAGGACTATCACCTCCGTCCATGCATATCTTCATCATTTCCTCTCCATGCCATGCTGTACAAATGCCATTTTCTATGTGTTCCAAGAAATGGAAGCTTTGGAGAAACACCACTTTGGCTTATGAGAGTCACTGAAATATATTTTATCATATGACCCCTTCTACTTGCCCTCAAATTTTCTTTTGAGAACTCTCTAGACTTGGACTCCATTCTACATAGTGAATACTTCCTTACTACTCCCTAACAGAGTATCTTAAATCTATAAATATGGTCATTTATAGTGCCTTTCCTTAAGTTTTTCCTTTGGTCTGACATGGTCTTCTTTTTTTTCCTTCAAATTTCACTCATTTTTTTCCAAGATTTTATCAAGTCCTAGCACTTTTATGACTGTTTTTCAATTACTTTAGCCTATGCTGTTTATCTCCCTCTTAATCTGAAATCTGAGCCATCATATTGCCTAACACATGTCAATTATTTGATGACAGAGACCACCATATATTCAACTCACACAGAACTATACTAATGTAGTATTTTTTCATGCTATACATTACAGTGCTAGTCACATATTAACACCTCAATTAAGTACAAATCTACTGGCTAATTAAGCATAGAATCAGTACCTGATGAAAATAGACAATTTTATTTAAAATGTTAAAATGGAGAAAAGGAAGAAAAAAAGGTTCTCAAGTGAGGTGTGATTTTTTTTAGAAGGAAGGTGTGAATGAGGCACACAGATGAATGCTAAGAAGCTATGTAAATATACCAGGAAACTAGTGTTAGTGAACAGGATGTAGGCAATCATGAACATCAAAGAAACTAAGTTATTATTAAATTTTGAGTGAGCCTAAGAATAATCAGGTATAGTTCCTTGAGGGGTCTGTGGTCTTTGCACCAAATGTGACACAAACAGTTCTTAGATTATTGTCTTAATATTATGTATTACATTCACAATTTAATAGGAGTATATATGTGTTTATCAGGTATCTACTCTGAGCCAGACTAAAATATGAAAAATGTAATTGTAAGAAGACATATTTATGGACATCCATAAAATTCTGTTTACCAGAGTGTTCATAGAGCATTATTTTACATAATAAAAAATAGTTTATATGTTCAACACTAAGGGAAATAGTAAATAATATATTGTTTAATACTTACAAAATTATTAGATAAAAATGATATATTACTTACCACTATATAAAAATAATATTGTCTAAATATCAATGTATTGCTACTTATGTATTTTTTAATATAAGTGATAAATAACAATAAAATTATTTTGTAAGAGAATATTTAAAAATATTGCCAATATATTAATTCATTGAAAAATGAAGTTTCAATCAAATGTGTAAATATGATTCAACTTTTATGGGGCTATTAACAAACATACTTGTACACACACATAGATGAACACATATACAGGAAAGATAGGTATCAACTTACTAGCAGTTGTTATATGCAGATGATGTGGCTTTCTTTTCCTATTCATGCTTTTCTGTTTTTCTCCAACTTTTATAACAATTTTTTTATATTTGTAATCAGAGTGCGAATGTCTTAAAATCCAATATATATGTTTTTATAACACAAAGTATCACATTTGAAATTAATGGTGTGTGCATTTTGTCAATCATGATCACATCCAGTTGACTACAAAGATGGTCTCTTCAAGGTTACAGCCTTGAATAGCCCCCTTGAGGGGCCTTGTGGAGGGTTCTGTTGGTAAAAAGTCTTTATGTGCTTTGTGTAGAGCAGGCTTCCTCCAGCTGTAGGTGAGTCATTAGCTATAGCTGCTCCAGTTGAGCCCTCAGTAATGTCTGTCAATGTGAGGGTGACATGAATTTGTGCTAAGAGGCATGGTATACAAGAATTGAACAATTCCCAACTGGGTTGCTTCTCTCCAGAATATTCCTATTTGCACATTTTTAAAAAAAGTCCCAACAGAGTCATTTGCTCAATAAGTTAAAGTTTCTTCCCTCATTACTGGATTTGAGTGACGATCTCCACTATAGCAGGAATGAAGACTCTGAGCTCAGGTTGGCATTACTCAAATCAAGGACTGAATTCCAGTCTCAGCACCTTCTGGCCAAAGCAGCCTGAAGTTCAGCCTCTCTTCCTCGGTTATGAAAGTGGACTCACATTTCTGTAAACCAATGTTTTCAGCTCAGCTCTGTTCAGATTGGCCAGCAGGAGAACACTGTGATTAATAACACAGACGTTAGTGTCTGATATACTTGGGTTCACAGTTCAGCTCTACCAAGACCTCTATGAACTTGGAGGACAGTGATTCAACTTTCAAATTTCTTGAGTTTCAGGTTTCTCATTCATAAAATAGAAATAAAAATATACTCTGTTTCATATCATTTTGCATAATAAATTAGCATACGTAAATTGGTTAATACATGTCTGACGTTCCAGTTTTCAGCTAAAAAATATTTGCATAAGTCCAAAGGCAATGCTGTGTAGAGGCATCACACTGAATTAGAAATCAGATAAATTTAGGTTAAAATTATTCTAACTCTGCCTAACTCAAACCAGTAATATTAGTATCCCTCTCCAATAGATGGGATTCAAATAATTTGACATTGTATTTTCCAGCATTATTTTATCTAATAGAACACATTCATGAAATTTTACTCATTTCTTCTTTTAACATATTTAGCATCAACTTTATTAAATATAATAAAATTTTAAAGTAATAAATTGTTAAACTGGTTGATTATAAATACGTTAGATCTTAAGGATTTTCCTTCATTTGTATAACTTCTAAAAAATATAACTATGTGACTCTCATTTATTCTAAAGACAAAGATGTGGTTACACCTTGTTTTATGATGAAAAGATCTGAAAAAGCTTCTTCAGAGATTAAGCAACCAGAGACAACCAAAGAAAGAGAAATGAGCTAAATTTGGTAACTTAAAATAGAACATTTTTCCTCATTCAGAATGATTTTTTTCTTTTTAAAAATCCATTACAAGGCAAGGCATTTCTCAAGATTAACACTTTGTCAGATGTTAATCTGTTTTGTGTGTGAGAGAGAGAGAGAGGAAAAGTGACATCTGGGGTTATATTTCTCTAAGAAAATGATGCCCAGTCCTAAAATGACAAGCAATATTAATAGAGCATTATACTTTCTCATCTAAAGATGACCTTTAAAGAGAATTGTAGTTAATATCTCATAATATTCCTTCATTTATTAGCTATCTCTTTCCCGAGTTCCGTTGTTATTATATTGCAGAAATATAGACACATGATTTGAAAAACAGAGAAATATGATTTAACCATTATATGGCTCAAGGCTCTCAAGCTTAATTCCATTTTTTTTCTCATTATATGAGGGAATTTGAAGCTGCTACACCAGCCAGTTTAGGAGAGAAATCCAGACAACTATATCTCTGACTGTTAAATTAATCATAAAGGGCATTATTTTTCATACTTGGTGGAAATTCATTAAAGTGATTGGATAGGCTTCTGGGATTGCATTATGAGATATTATTGTTGCAGAAATCATCTAGACCATAAGTAAAATGACTGATATGGACAATAAGAAATAAGACCATTTCATTTTTTCTACTTATTCACCTAAATCTCTACTATAAAATATTAAAAAGAAGAAAAATAAGGTCTATCACAATGGCTGATGAATTGAGTCACCAAAAAAAAATTTTTTTTAAATCTTGTCATGTGACTATGATTGGAAATCCAGTAATAAGCCAGGCTAAATCCTACGTGGAAGAAAAACAGAATTTACTTTAATTCTTCCTTTTGAATATTGATTAAGAATTTATGGGCAAGTTCTCTGCACTCTGGAGAAGGCAGAGATAAGATTTTAAATTCTTGTTTACTCTGATCCTTTCCCCATTAGATTTATGAATTCAAACTGATAAAGCAGTTTCAAATAATTACCGGATGTAATGCCATTAATGAGTTTGTCATTTTCCCTTTTTTTAAAAAAACAATTTCTCTCTTTCTGTCACTGATTACTTTTAGATGATATATTTTGGTTTCCCTGAAGAACAGTTATTTATAGGAAAATGGTAATACTGGAAAAGTTACTTACTGATAAGCAGTTAGAGTGCAATTTTACATTCAACTCAGCTGGGGTTTGAAAAGTTACCTTATATTTAGTGTAAGTAGACAAAATTTTATCTGAACACCATTGAAATTACATATGGTAAATCTTTGAGCATTTTTTAAATCACTCCATATCACAAATTAGCTTAATCCTACCAGAATTTTGAGGATACTAGGAAAAAGGGAAAACATAGATCACAAATTATGTGCCATTCATTTTATTAGCTGTGTTCTGTAAACCACTGTGATGATTAGTAAGTTGACCCAAAAAGTTAAGCATATGTTCTAGTTGCATAGTTAATAAACAGGGAACTAGGTTTGAACTCAGTCTGTACAATTATAGTACATATTTCTCTACCTAACATAGGCTTTGAATCTTTATTGAGTATCTCTTATTATCTTCTACTACCTCTTTTAATTTTGATCAATTTAAAGATTTTAATTTACTTTCTAATTTAATTGAGGAGCTTTTTCCTCAGCCAAGTGCAGGTCTTTTTGTGGCATTACTGTAAGACCATGATTCATTATAATGTGACATGCCAATTCAGAAATAAAACATTCCAAAAGAAAAGGGCTACCTAGGGTAATATGAAAGAAATTTTAAATTTAGATTTTATATTAATTATTTAAAGCAATTCAAAATCTCATGAGTCTAGATTCTACCCCTATGGCTTTGCAGTGAATGAACCTGTGTGTGGGTTTTTTAAAATTTTTATTTTCATGAAGATTTTCTTCTAGAGGCCAGTATAAATTCAATGAATTATATAAATATTATTTTAGGAGCTGCTTTTCTGCACCAAGAATTCTGGAATCCAGGAAAAAAAAAACGTATTTCCATAATTCATCTTAATTAGTTAAATGGCAGAACTAGTCCTAATGAGGAGACTCCAGCATTGAACAGAGACTGTCTTTACAGGCTACATGACTTCCTCAGAGGACAGGAAGACTATTCTTTAGTACCTTGCTTATTTCTCCAAAGCTACATTTGTTTCCTATGAGATTGTGAAGACACCATCTGGGAATATTGGTATAAATACATAGCCTGCCTACATTACTAGCCACAGAGACAACGTTTCCAATAATTTCAAGGTTTATTTATTAATTGCCCTCCTTGCTTCTGGGATAGTGTTGACATCTAAAGCCAGTAATGGAGTCCCCCTTCTTCCCTCATCTTGTCCTTGAAAACAATTCCACCTCTTATTTGCATGATTCAATGGGGCCAACTTCACAAATAGATTCCAAGCCTTTTTCCTTTCTTACCTGCCCAGATTGATTGCCAATCTGGGGAATCACTTTTGGAATATTATCTTACTTGAATGTATCCAAAAGAAAAAGCTGAAATACATGTCCTAAGAATTATCCAATATGAATCTTCAGTAAGAGAAGGGAACTAAGATTTGTTTTCACTTACTGTACTCCATGTAGCATGTGGAGTTCTTTACCATATTATTTTATGAAAATTTACAATTGCTGATAATAGATCTTTTTATCTCTACTTTATACCTGAGAAACTGAGGCACAGAAAGGAAAACAAATTTTGTCCTGGTTCATAGGGCTATTAAATGGCAAAAAAACACACAAAACTTTCCAAAGCAATATTTGATAACTAAAAGCCACTCTCCTGGGTGGGGTAGGGTTATGTATTTTCCCAGGTCCTCAGTCAAGCATTGCCAGAATTCTGTTCATCCTACTAAGCAGTTCATCAAGAATGGCCATCTCTGTCATTGCAAAGGGATCTTCTTTGAGAACATGAACCTTAAGTATACGGCTCACTTGTCCCAACAACATGTCTATCTGTGAACTACTTAATACAGCTGCTTTCGATGTGTAAACCTGAAGGACTAACAGCATCTCCTGAGAACCTAAGCAGAAAGGCAGTCTCTGGCCCCTCCTCAGACATGCTGAATCAGAAACTCTGAGTGTGTGGCCCGGCAATCTGCATTTTAATAGGCACTGCAGGTGATTCTGATACACGCAAACATTTGAGAACAAATGACCTAATTATTAACTTATGCGGTAGAAAATCACAGATGCATAAAGTTCTGAATCACTTTTTATAGTGAGGTTTTTTTTGACCCTTTATGCTAAAGTCAATCATACTATTTCATAGAGCTTAGAACTGAGTTTTTCTGCTGCTGGTATAAAAGAGATTACACATTGGTCAGAACCTTTCCTCTGGAAAAGTGGAGAGGAAAACAAAAACTTGTAAAAACAACTGTCTTGTAAGCTTGGAAATCTAAAATAGAAGCCCTATCAGTGGCAAACTCTCTCTTTCTCATTCACATACACACTCTGCGTGTGTGTCTATCTACATACATGCATGCGTTTGGTTTTCTTAGCTGAGTTAACACAAATTCAGATGTCTATATTGAGTTAATAAGAGTCAGATACATAATGGTGCCAAGAGAAATCGTGTTGCTTTTGTGACAACTGAATAGTAGCAAGAGAGAAAAAGACAAAAGGCTGGAGACTAGAAATAGCATAGAACAAAACACACTCTGGATGGAATTTGACACATTCATTAATTTTCCTCTCCTTCTAATTTTGAAAATGTATTGAAGAAATAACAAAACAAACTCATTTTTATTTGAAACGAAAAATCTTGGGCATCACCCAATGATCAATCCAAAAAGAAATAGCAGGGAAGAGTGAGGACAGTGAATTTTCAGTCCACCATTTCATAGAAGCTGCATCTAGAAACAAAGAATGTTAAGTTGGTTTCTTTTTGTACTTTTTCACATAATTTTCTACTATGTTCACTATAGGACCAGCATTTCAAGGGCAGTTTCTTTCACAGTTTCAGTGAAAATTCATTGAGCATCTACTGGCTTGCTCTGCACTGTTCTCTGCACTGTGCTAGGCAGCGCAATAAAGAAATATACAGAGCAAGACATGGTGGTGTGCACTTGTAATCCCAGCTACTAGGGAGGCCGAAGTGGAAAAATCTCTTGAGCCCAGGAGTTTGAGGACAGCCTGGACAACAAAGACAGACCCTAAAACGTATTTTATTAAATTAAAAACATTTTTAAAAAGACAGACACAGCACAGAATTGCATAAAAAAGACATCAAATCATTCCACTAAAACTATTTATTTAAAGTTGCACTAAGTGCTACTAATGAGCATAAAATGTTTTGAAGTTGGGTAATTTAGACTTCTGGTCTGGTTTTTAAGTTTGGTTTTTAAGTTTAGTTTTTAAGATTTGAAAGATTAGCTTAGTTTTAAGTTTAGTTTCTAAGATTGAAAAGATGAGTAGGAATTGACTGGGAGAAGAGCAGGGGAAAAATGTTCCAGGCTGAGAGAACATTTCACCTCTTATTTGCATGATTCAGTGGGGTCGACCAAATCAGCCAAAAGCAAAACCTTTGTCTTGGAAAGAAGCTTGATGTACTGAAAAAGAAAACCAATACTAGAAGAAGATACAATTTTTGACAGTGGACATGGGACTGAAGAAGCAAGGAGGCAGATCACACAGGTGTGGAGGGAAGCTATCAGAGGCAACAAGATTTTACTGAAATGGTGTAATCTTTCCTTGCAACCCTATCACTATCTCATGACTCCATTTTGCCACCAAGACATAACTGAACATTCCTTTAGGAAAAGACAAACTCAGATTTCTGGAGAGCTGATGGGAGGTGAGGTGGTGGGTATTGTGGGGTGCTTGTTTGGGGTGAAGATGGGGTATGTTCTATCACCCTTTGAATTGTATTCCATTCCACCCGTGCATGATATAGCTGTCTATATTATTTAAAGTGTAAATAACAACAAGCCTAGAAGTCTTCATTTTCTAACCATTAATGGGGCCATAAAATTTTATCTAAAAACACTGTTCATTTTCACACACTTCTGCTTTATTGGTTCTGAAATCTTATGCCCACCGGCCCAGCAGAGTAGTGCATGATAATGAATGGGAAAGTGACTTTTATGAATGTTGTAGGTTTATTCCCAACATTCCAGTTAATTTTGCTGATGAGAAAACTGTGGTAAAAATAGGAATATGACAAATCCATATTAACATAAGTAGCTATAGATAGATCTGGGTTTTAAATTTTCATCCTCTAGTTTCTATGCAGTAGATAACTGTGAGCAAACATGTATTATCTATGCTAAATGATATATACAGACAGGATTCTTACCTAAGAATGAGAAGGACAAAAAAGGAAGCAACACCTTTAATAGAAAATTACGCCTTATCAGTAATGTACTTCTGTGATAACCCATTTTACATTGTTATAAAGGAATACCTGAGGCTGGGTAATTTATAAAGAAAGGAAGTTTATTTGGCTCATGGTTCTGCAGGCTGTACAAGCGTAGCACCAACATCTACTCAGCTTCTGGTGAGGCCTCAGAAAGCTTACAATAATGGCAGAAAGTAGAGAGGGAGCAGGCATGTTACACGGTGAGAGAGGGAGCAAGAGAGAGAGAGGAGGTCATACCAGACTCTTTTAAACAACCAGCTTTTACATAAACTCATCGAATGAGAATTCTCTTATCACTATGGGGAGGGTCTTGAGCCATTCACTAGGGATCCACCCCCATGACCCAAAGACTTCCCAGTAGGCCCACTTCCAACATTGGAGGTCACATTTCAACATGAGAACTGACCAAGATAACACATCTAAACCATATCAACATTATTATGGGAATAGGTTTTTCATGCTGGGAAATCCACAGGATGGGATACTGTTTATCAGATAAAATGATAACAAGATCCAAATGTATCTACTTGGATAGGTCCCCAAATATAGAGTCAAGTGAAAAAAGGCAAGCTGTGTAATGATACTTTCCTGTGTCCCTTTTAAATAAGATGTACAAATAGTCAAAAATAGACAAAATAATTAAATCTCAATTATAAATATAAAAATATATAGAAAAGACAGGGGGAATGCACACAGACTTCAAAACAGTTATGCCTCCGAAGAGGGAAGGAGGTAATTTTATGGGGCAGAGCTGTGAAGGGGACTTCAACTGGATCTATGTTTCATTTATCTAAAAATATCTGGAGCCAATATATTAGAAGGCTAGCCTTGTTAATTTTATTGGTAGGCAAAAGAACATATGATATATTTGTCTCTGTAACTGTCATTTTGTGTGCAATAGCTTTTAATGTTTAAAAAGGAAATCGCCAGTCCAGGTGGTACTCACCTGTAGTCCTGGCTGCTCAAGAGACTGAGGTGGGAGAACAACTTGAACCCAGGAGTTCAAGTTCAGGCTGGGCAACACAGTAAGGCTTTATTTCTTTAAAAAGTTAAAAAAAAAAAGGAAAAATAAAAGCGTAGAATAGGTTCCAAGACAATAAATATGAATTAAGCTGTCCTTGTAGTAGAAGCTTTGCAGTTCAGTGGGCTACAGAAATAAGCACCTCATGGTTTCATTTGGGATGAATATAAATGATTTGAAGGAATATGGGGGTCTAGAGGCTTGTCTGGCAATTGTTTTGTTTAAGCGAATGCCTGGCTTAAGGTGTATTTCATTTATTTCTTAATACTGAGGCATGTTAGGACTGACTGGGGCATTTTGATGTGGGATGATTTTCCTTATTCTCTATCAATAGATCATATACTTACTATTATTAAGAGCCATTTGATCATCATTTTAGAGAAAACGGCACAAATTCCTAGACAGAGAATTAGACCTTGGAATTAAGACCTCTATCATGGTCAGCAGATTCATGACCTCCTTTGTTTAAGCAGAGTCCATCAGATCTCATGCATAATTCTATGACTTCTGAGTGGCCGAGAGAGTCAGCGGTTCACCTGGAAAATTTCCATTTGTGCTTCAAACTCCATCTAGGACATGAGATCACTATGCATTCCCTTCTTTCACTTCCTCCAGGATATGTCTCTGAGCATCTCATTCTCTCTGCATCCACCATGCCTAGCTATTCGCATTTCATAGGAGACAATAGATAGCTGTTTTTTGTGGATATAAGTGCTCAACCAGTACAACATGGTATTGTCACCATTAGCCTCATCTTGATGACATTGTCTCCATCTGAGATATAAGTAGTTACTTTGTATATTTTCGTGTCTTTAGGATTTAAAAGACTTTTTTAGATCTGAAATTCCCAATTACGGAATTATCACAAAGCCTTAAAAAATATGTTCCGCCAGCATCTAAGCCTGAGAAGAAACGGGCAAAATTACAGACTTTGTCTTAAACTTTCCTAAGAACTTTTGCAGTTCTAGCCAGCACTAAAGCAGTAATGAATAACCTTACCTCCAGCTACTCACTGTGATTCCAAGGGGGTCATTAACAGCCAACATATGCAAAAAAAAAAAAAAAAAAAGGCCAGATTCTTCTTCTCTTTAAGATGGAATTGTACTTTGAAATAGTGGGTCTTCTGCAGGAGAAGAAAGGGAGTCACAGAAACATTTGGAAAATTTTATAATCTTATCATCTTATTTTTGCATATAGCATTACTTGTGTACCTCATTTGTGGTCTTTAACTGTTGTTTCTCTCAAGATATGTATGTCCAGATTAACATGTGCACTTTCACAAGTATTCATAAGAGGATTCTTCATAAGATCCAAGTCATATATCTTGTTAGCACATAGCAGGGAATCAATTAAAGGGCAGGTAGCATGCACTAATACATATACATGTGAATATTGTAGTGAGGAGGTTGAGCAGCATCAGGGATGACTCAGAGGATCTGAGTCTGATACCCTTGACATAAGCAGAAGTTTGTGACAGAGGAAAAGGGCTTCACTTTAGAGAGAATTTGAAGGCATGCCGTGACATCTAAAGAGAAGGAGGAAGTGAAGGAGGTCTGCAAAGGTGTGAGAGTGAGGAGGAAGGTGATATGATGGTAATTAAGCTCATGGATTCAGGAGTCAGATATATAGTATATTTTTCTAATTTCTTTCATTTGTTTCTGTCCTCCATTAAGTAAGGAAAATAGAGAAATAATGAAGATCAAAAGAAATAATATGTAAATAATGTATCTGCATCACTTTCCTTAAGAAGTAAAGAATAAGTAGTATATATTATAAAATGTATCAAAATACCTGTGAAATACCTTCTATGTACAGGAAGCTTGGGATAAATCAGGAAATGAAACCCTCAGGGTTACTGTTCCTATGGCATTTAGAAGAGTCAAAGGGATGAGGACTGAATCTTGGTAAATCTTGGAAAAGAGGATTTTTTAAAAATATTTTTTCTATATATTCTTTTAGTAGATGTTGTTGATGTTCTCCACATCCTCTTGGCCGTTACCTCCCTCAACTCTGAGGGTCATTTACTGTGAACTTATGCTGCTGTCTGTGCTTGAGAACTTTTTGTTTTTTTTTTGGCCAAGGGGAGCACCCTAGGCAAGCGTGTATGACAAGGCAGAAATGACAGAGAGTTGTACCACACTAGGCACCCCTTTGCCCAGAAAAGATGGGGAGTAGGTACAGCCCAGCTTCTTTACTTCTCTTTTGGTATAATTTAAGGCACTTTCTACTTTGTCACCCAGATTTCCACAGTGAAATTGAGCTTTAGTTTCCCAAAGCCCTGTGGCTGGATGACTCATTCTTTATCAGCCTCATTCTCTGCATCCCTTCTCCCTTTCCCTACCATCACCTCCCAAACAACTGCTTACACTTGAATCTGTGTCTAAGGGTCCACCTCTCAGGGATCCCAAACAAGACAACCACATACAAGGTTAATGGGCTTAGTATTCATTGAATACCCTCTATTTATGGTAGACGCCGGACTAGTCACTTTACTTGATCTTGATTATTGTTCACAAAAACCATGCAATGTAGTAGATATTACATCATTTTGTAGGCAATAAAACTTAGAGTGAGATAATATAGAACTTTCTAAAGTTCTATTAGTAGTAAATGGTAAGTGGTTACTAGAACTCCGTTTAGACTGTAGTTCTTATATTCGTTCCACAACATTTAGTTGCTTAACTTCAACTCTGGAGGCAAATATTCCATGAAGATTCAATTAAATAAGTAAATAATTTTGCTGCATATTAAACTGATGTAGTTTTTTGTCTAAGACTCTGTGGTTGTTGTAATTGGATTGCCTGAAATTAAGTAGTACATGCATTTTAAAATCATCTTTCTCAGCCAGGTGTGGTGGCTCACACCCATAATCACAGCACTTTCGGAAGCCAAGGCAGGAGAATTGCTTGAGCCCAGGAGTTTGAGACCACCCTGGGCAACATACTGAGATCTCATCTCTACAAAAAAATTAAAATAAAAAAGTTAGCCAGGCACAGTGGCACATGCTTGTAATCTCAACTACTCAGAAGGCTGAGACAGGAAGATCACCTGAACCTAGAAGTTTGAGGCTGCAGTGAGCCATGATTGCACTACTGCACTCTAGCCTGGATGACAGAGCAAGATCCTGTCTCAAAAAAAAAAAAATTAAAAAATTTAAAAAAAAATAGTCTTCCTGTAAGGCATAATTTTTGCAGCTAAATCAGCGGCAAGTGATGGGTGTTTATATGTGTGCACAAGCATGTTAGTGTATGTGTGTATGAGCGTATGTATGTTGGTGCATATGTGTATGTTGGTGTTTGTGTGTGGGTGTGTGTTAGTATGTGTGTCTGTATGTTGGCATCTGTGTTTATATTGCTGTGTTTGTATGTGAGTGTGTGCTTGTATGTTGGAATGTGTATGTTGGGATTTGTGTGTGTGTTAGGGTGTGTGTATGTGTGTGTATGTGTGTGTGTATGCAGAAAGAGCAAGAAGTCATTTTTTTAATAGGAAGTTTTAGACATAGCTTCTTTTCTGGCCTAATTTTCTTGTTTGCTTGAAGGTCTTTATAATTGTCACTTCAAGCATGTGTCCAGTTAGTTTAAATCTCACTTAAGCCCATTATGGTTTTCTACACATAGCTGTGAGATGATGTGATGTGACTTTCTTTCTCTGAAGTCTGCAATGTAGCCCACTAACTTGCTCTTTCTGATATGTCTCAGCTCAGGTTTGTAGCCTGCAGAGTCTGAGCCACCCTCCACATGAGGAGTGTAAGATAGGATGTCAGTGCTGCCTTCTAATGATTTCATCTGAATTGCAAAGCACCAGCTTATGGCCCCATTTATAACTCCAGTTTTAGAAACTACTTTTTATGACTAAGAAAGACTTTTAAAGGATGCAATAAAAGGGACACTACATTAACATAGAGCTGGAAAACATTGTTAGGCAACATGAGGATGTGATAATTAGTGTGAACTTGAAATTTCAATTGTAGTTGCCTCCTGCCACTCACTTATTCAAAACTCTAGATGGGCTTTGGGTTGTCCAATGGACAGTGGCAACATGGGATGGTGAGAGTGCAAGGTCTTTGGAGTGAAACAGTTGTGAATTCAAATATTGACTATCAATAACTCTGGCACTCTATGCCACATAATGGGGGCTTAAAAATATTTGTCAAATTCCTGTTTTCTAACTCAAGCTTTACAAGCCTCAGTTTCTGCATCTCTAGGTAGGGGATGATATCGACTTCACGGGAATGTTATGAGCACTAAACAAACCCACATCTGGAAATATTAACCAATGCCTGGCATGGAGTAGAGAGTTCGATAATGAACACAACTTGATCTGCTATTCCATTTGGATACCTAATTAGGCGTTATTAATTTATCCGCCCATCTCTTAACCTCTGCATAGATTCATCAAGCACTCATTTTATGCTTATTGTCCCAAGCACAAGCTATACTCATTCATATCTCCATACTTTAGCTTATAATGTGTTTCCATCGAAATGTCTTTTTTATATTCCTTTTTGGCCACCTAAATGTTGTTATTATTTTAGAACAAACTTAAATGTCACTTTTTTCATGATGTCTTCCCTTATAACTCTCATGTTCTCTTTCTTTTATCTGTTTCTGTTACTATGTGTATCACTTTTGTTAAGGATATTATCACATTATATTCTATCTCATTTATCATTCTAGGTCTATTTCTTGTATTTAAATCTCCCTTCTTAAAAAATTATAGACTCTCTTGGGAAGTTGACCACATACTAATATTTTTCTTTGGCTAGAATTATTTGCAAAGATAAGTAATATTTGCTCAAATAGTACTGTATTATTTAATTCATACTTAAGTAATCTTCTAACTAGTTATTTGCTTATCTCTCTTCGAACCAACACCTTTCCCCAGGACATAGTTGCAAGGCTCATTCAGAGCACTCCTTTCAATGTTATTCTTCCTACTCATAAACTTCTGGTGGTTCACAATAACATTCAGAACAAAAATCAAACTTTGAGACCAGACATTTAAAATATCCTATTAATACAACCTAGACTTTACCTATTGTTCTCTAATATTTCCTAACTACTACTTTCCTAGACAATGATCATTTTCTTACTTATACACCTTTGTCCGAATGCCAACTACCTATGGACAATATCTTCTCTCCATTTCCAAATTATCTGGTTCCTGTATTTCTTTTCATGAACACTTGCCATACTGCTCCTGTCCATATGATCTTTCCCCTTTAATGCCTGGAAGATCTTTAATGTCTTTATAGCTCAGTTGATGCTTAGAAAATTATCACTGCTATCATTGTTATCATTATTAAGATAAAATTTTTTGAGCACTAATGTTTGCCAGAAAGTAATAAACCCTGGATTATTTTATTTATTTTTTATTTCCCGTTCTGAACCTGCCTTGTATTTAAACTTGACCATAGGGTTCTTAACATCAGGATCATATTTTACACTCTTAGAATTGCCAAGTTTCTTAGCCTATTTGTGCAACCACCACAAAATGCCATGAACTGAGTAGTTTATAAGCTACAGAAATTTATTTCTGATAGTTTTGGAATCTGGGAAGTTCAACATCCAAGGACCAGCAGATTCAATACCTAGTGAAGGCCCATTTTCTGGTTAATAGATGGTGACTTCTCACTTGGTAGAAGGAGGCAAGGCAGCTCTCTCAGGCTTCTTTTGAAAGACACTAATCCCATTCATGAGGGCTCTGCCCCCATGAACTAATCGCCTACCAAACAACCCATCTCTTAGACCATCACATTGGTGATTAGGTTTTAGCATATGGATTTTGATGGGGGACACAACCATTCAGACTCCCTCCAAATTTATGTCCTCTCATGCAAAACATATTAATACCATCCTTATATCCTTAAAAATCTTAGCTCCTTCCAGCATTAACTTTAATGTCAAGTCCAGTGTCTCATCTTAATAGCCTCTAAATTAAATATAGGTGAAACTCAACATAACAATTCATCATGAAGCAAATTGCACTGTAACTGAGAACTTATGAAATAAAACATGCTATGTGCTTCAAAAATACAATGGTAGTGATACAGAACAGCTGGGCTCCTGGCTAAACCCCACCCTGAAGCCTGGAACTGCCCTAAGTGAAAATAGCTGTCCCCGTTTTTCTGCCCAGATGTTGACTTTTTGGCCTGCCATGCCCCTATCCTGTGCCCATAAAAAATACTTGAGCTGCCAGAGCAATACAAGTGGCTGAGCAGTGAGCAGAGAAGAAACTGAGTGTTAGAGACTACGGATAGACATGGCTAACTTCAGATCCCCTTTCCAACTCCCCATAGAGCCACTTCCATTGGCCAGTAAAGTCCTCTGCATACACTATCCTTCAAACTGTTTGTGTGACCTGATTCTTCCTGGACGTTGGACAAGAACCCAGGAGTTGAAAGGGCAAAGGCTTGGACATTGCTGTGGAGCCTGGACAGAGCCTGCTTCTGCCAGAGAGGAGCGACAAGCCATTTCCTGCGTTCGTTCCCTCCAGTTCCCGCACTCACTTGCTCACACATTCCCTCTCGCAAGAAGTGGCCAGTGGCAGGCTGAGTGAAACGAGCCACTCCACTTCCCACCCACGAAGGAGGTCAAGGTCAAGGGAACAATCCTGCCTCAGTAGGTCAGGCATAGGCTAGATATTTTCATTCCAAAAGGGATAAACAGAAAAGAAGAAAGGGGTAACAATCCTATACAAGTTCAAAATCTTAAGAAGAGAATAATATTCTTTGTCACGAGGTTCTGCCATCCAGGCCTAAAGTAGCCCCACCAACACCACAACTCTATGCCTAGGTAATGTACCCATGGCTATCCTGGGCTGGAATTGTCCTCTTATGGGCCTACTGGTCTGAGATCCTTAAGGCAAACCCATCCTCAGAGCTCTGCTGGACATTGCCCAAGTAGGGACTCCCTGCAGCAGGTCCACTTCCTTGGTGGTTCTCTGCTGGGGCCCTGTGGGTCTCTAGGGCATCCTTTGAAATCTGTTTGGAGGCAGCCATGCCCTACAGCTCATGTACTCTTGTGTACCAGCAGAGATGGCACTGTGTGGACACCACCAAGGTTTACAACCTGTACTCTCTACAGAGGCAGCCACAGTGAATTGTGCTGTACCTGTGGCAGCTGAGGAGCCCAGCATTGTAATGTGATGAGCATATTCTTGCTATGGTGTCACACAGAGAGCACTGAGGTTCTGCAGGGGCCCATAACTCCTCCTTCAAAATCATTCTGTGATAGGCCAGAAGCCCTGATAATCTCCAAAATTCCTTCATCCTCATTGTTCCATTGTCTTGATGAAAAGCTTCTCTTGATATGGTAGATTCATACTCATCAATGAGTGTCATTTGGTCACACGCTTCTCTCTTAAACGTGCTTTTCTGTTCCTTTTAATATGAATAGGATAAGTATTTTCTTAATTTTCAAATTCTGTTTCCTTTTGATTAACAATGCTGTCATTGTTATTTCTCTTCTTGTGTTTTACATAACTACTCAAGAGAAACCAAGCTATACCCTTCAATGCTGTGCTTAAAAATTTCCTTGACCAAATATCCAATTTCATTGATCCCAAGTTCTACCTTCCATAAAACACTAGGACACATATAAATTTCAGCTGAGTTCTTTATTACTTTATAACAACAATTGCCTTTCCTCCATTTTCCAATAATGTATCCCTCATTTCCATCTGAGACCTCATCAGCATGGCCTTTAATGTCTATATTGCTACCGACATTTTGATTATGACTACTTAGGTATTCTCTAAAAAGACTGAGGCTTTCTCCATAGCTCTTCTAATATTCTGAGCCATCACCAAAATTGTCCTTTATCGTTTGTTCACAGCAATGTATGCTTTTTCTAGTGTGAACCTTAAAATTCTTCCAGCCTTTACCCATAACCCAATTCCAAAGCCACTTCTACATTTTAGGTATCTGTTACAGAAGTGCTCCACTTCTGGATAAGACTTTTCTCTCAGTTCATTTCGACTTCTATAACAAAAACATAGGTACCTTATAACAAAAACTGGGTACCTTATAAGTAACAGAAGTTTATTTATTATTATTCTGGAGGCAAGGAATTCCAAGAGCAAGTTGCTGCTAGAATCAGTGTCTGGAGAGAACCAGTTTCTTTGTTCATAAAAGGCCATCTTCCTGCTCTAACTTCACTTGATGAAAGTGGCAAAGGAGCTTCTGGGGCCTCTTTCACAAGGACACTAATTCCATTCATGAGGGCTCTGGCTTCATGACTTAATCATCTCCCATCCCACTTTCTAACACCATCAGATGGGTGATTAGGTGTGAATACCTGAATTTTAGAAAGACATAAACATTCAGATTTTTATAGCACCAAGTGTCGAACATGTCTTAGGTGTTTTCAAACGAATATCAATATTTTTATTAATGATTACATAATTATTTGGTGGATGTTTGTTCATTGAAAACATTTAAATTTCTACCACCAAATCAATAACCTTATTCATGTGTAGTGAGTTTATAAAATGCCTTAATCAAAATCAAATTATAGTAATTGAAATTCTTGTCACAAAATCAATTCCTTTATATAAACACGTATTCAGCAAACACAGTAAGCTGGCATCCACTATGTGTCATACTTGCATGTTAGGGATACAACAATGAATAAAACCCATCAAGAATATGTGGATAAATAGTTATAGTACCAGTTTTTGATGATGATCAAGTGGTACAGGTTTAAAAAATTGAAGAAAACATTACTTAGTGCATTTGAAGGGAAATAAGAGGGCTAGGTTTGGAAAACTTTCTGTAATTGATGATGTGTGAGCAGAAACATGGCATCCAAAGTTGTTTAGGACAAGATTATATTCACATTAAAATGTATAAAGGCAGGAAATCTTGAAAGGGCAAGCAACACTTGGTGAAGAACAACAGAGCAAAAACCCTTTGTGACTGGATCACAGGTAATAGAAAAAAGAGAAATATAAGTTTGAGGAACTCATTTGGAATTATTTTGTGAAGGGTCTCTTAGGGAAACAGTGGCTTTTTATATTGAAGGAGTAACATCTTTAGATTTTTTACTTTAGAAAGATAATAACTTATACTTTTCATTGTGAAGGAGAATGAATCAACTGTAATATTTCATTTGGGCAGAAGCCTGATTCAGCTAATATCCTGAAGTTTTACTTATTCATAAATATGATTTTAGAAGGGAAATACAACCTTTAGAAGCGTAACCAATATTTCATGTGTGTCTATTGGGTGAAAATTTGGTACTGTTAGCTGTGTTTCTCTTTTGAAGGGTTATGTTACTTCATATGGATATAAATTGTGTAACACCAACAACACGCTTTTATGATTCAGATTTTGGCTTTAATTGTCTTCTGTTTCATCAGATAGAAGATCTAGGACTTAATTGCCAGCTCAGGATTAGTGGGCCACTTATCTTAGTATGTGGGTAAACTCATGTTAGCAAAAATCATATAGTTAATCCCTAAAAGAAGGGTCTTTATTTTGTTTTGTTTTGTCTATTTTTGTTTCTTAAACAAAGAATAAATCACTGTTTACCTAAATCTCTCCTAATTTTTTAATCTATTTGAATATATTTTCTGGTAAAGTTAAACATAGAGCACCCACTATGCAGGGGTCTATAGACCAAGCCATGTTTTTCAATCTGTGTGTGGTTTCCTGTTTTGAGCCTGATAATTATTTGTGTGTGTGTGTGCGTGTGGTTGGAAGAGGGGGGACTGTGTTTTGCATTGTAGAATATTGTAGGGGGAAAAATATAATTTTTTTCAATTCTGATAGGTTCTTAGTTGGAATGGACCCCTGTGACTAAAGACAGATTAACAACAACAACAACAGCAAAACAGAAGCTTATTAACATGTGTATTTCATATGTACATGGGAGATACCCAGGGAATGAGTCATTCTCAAAGAGATGACTTTGAACACCAGCTGTATAACATCTTCAACAAAGTACAGTAAATTTTTGGAGAAGTGACAACAAAAAGTAAAAGTATTTTCGGTATCTCAGGGCAGCAACTTGTGGGAAGGCAAATAACGACAGATAAGGACTATGTAGTGAGGCTTGTTAATATAGATTCCTCTGGTATCATATTCAGATGATAAGGGTCCAAAGTTTACTTCAGTGGTTAACCTTGCTCTTCCTGGCAGAAAGAGTTGGGGGGAGAATACCTTTTGTCTTTGTAAATGTATATGTCCTTGTCAGACAAATAGAGCAAGGGAGGAGAAAGATGTCCTTCATCTGTTTCTCAATTGCCTTTACCTCAACCATTCTTCATATTCTGGCGTGGCATATTCCAGTCTCCTACAATGTTTAATAAGTAGCATTGCTGGCCTCTACCCAGATCCCTGTAGCACCTGCCCAGTTGGGGTACACAAATAAGCCTCCAGATATTGTCAGTTGTCCTTGCAAGTAAAAAATTGCCCCTGGTTAAGAACCACTGACCATATGAAAAATGTTTCCTTGTTTGGAATAATGTATTCCATGTTTCCTTGAATATTTAGGATCAAAACACAGCAATAATTTTGTATAAAAAATCAGCTAATCTGGCCAGACATGGTGGCTCATGCCTGTAATCCCAGCACTTCAGGAGGTTGAGGCAGGAGGATTGCTTAACCCAGGAGTTCAAGACCAGCCTGAGAATAGTGAGACCCTACCTCTTCAAAGGAAATAAATTAAAAAAAAATTAACCAGGCACAGTGATACACACCTGTAGTCCTAGCTACTTGGGAGGCTGAGATAGGAGAACTGCTTGAGCCTAAAAAATTGAGGCTGCAGTGAGTAGAAAAATTGAGGCTGCAGTGAGCAGTGATTATATCACTGCACTCTAGTTGTTGACAGGGCAAGACTCTGTCTCAGAAAAAAAAAAAAAAGGAAAAGAAAATCAGCTAAGCAGAAGCCTGCAGGGTGGCCATTCTGACAGGCTGGAAGCATAGTCTGTGGAAGGGCGCCAGAAAAAGATACTTTGAGGACGGGAAG
Source organism: Homo sapiens (assembly GCF_000001405.40). Classification (NCBI taxonomy): domain Eukaryota; kingdom Metazoa; phylum Chordata; class Mammalia; order Primates; family Hominidae; genus Homo; species Homo sapiens. Next base: position 37,172,672 of record NC_000011.10, read on the forward strand.
AAGAAGAAGGAATTTATGTTGAATGAGATAGCCATATATACATATTCAGTAAGCTATTGGAGAAGACATGAATATTTATGAAAAGAAAACATGCACATGTGCAATTGAGTTTCAGGCCCCTCCATGGGTCCCATGTAAAAATAATAGCAGTGTTAGCATGATCTGAGGGTGGAGGTTTTGGTCCTCTGATGTCAAAAGGTGAAGCAGAGGAAAAGAAAACCCTCACTCTGCATCCTCAGTAGACTAGCCAGAACCACTCAGTGGTAGGCGGTCTCTATCAGGAAAGAATGCTGAATGGTTGTTTTGTCAAAACACAAAAGGGTGGAGCAGTGTCAGGTGGTTGGTTGGTATCGGTGGTGGAGTCTTTTGGAAAGGCTGGTTTCTGCTTAGCCCTTAGGGAAGAAAGCCTAATGATGGTTAGCAAGGGAGGGGTTACAAAAAGGCTTGTCAACCCGTTGTCCTGTCATGGCTGGGAACTCAACTTCCAAGGTTTCTCTGGGGTCCCTGTGACCAAGATATGGTCCATTCACTTGTTTGGGGGACTTAGAATTTCATTTTTATTTCACAGGTTTAAGTTCTGAATTCCTAAAAGTGAAGAACTTTATCAATTTAGTTTGCTTTTGTGTTGCATCTTGCAGGGAGACCTAAATTTTAACTGTCAGCTAGGATTCCTGCATCATTCTACAAGATTGGAGATGGCTTCAGCTTCATATATCAACTATTGGATTAAAAAGATAGTAAAACTCGGTCAGTATAAGGACAAATGAGCTATTCATTAAAGGTTGGAAGATCTTCATCTATGGCCTAGAGGAAAGAAAAATGAAATGGAAAATAAAAGCTTTGATGTTCTTTAAGTTTCAAGTTTACAGTGACCTAGGAATAAATCTAAATTGGCAAAATCACCAACCTTGAAGATACAAAGATGAAATTTAAAGTATTGAAATTGTACTGAGAAGACCAACCTTGGGCAACTTAAAGAATAGTCACACACACACACACACACACACACAGTCATACGTATTTGTAAATTTGTCCAAGACAAATATATAAGGACTAAAAATCTTATTGTAATAATAATTTTTTAAAATCTTAGGCTTTTGCTTATTTTCTGAAAGTGACTTTAAGAGAAAAATTCTCCAAACTTAATGTGGCCACATGCTATATAATTATCTCTAAATCACAAACACGGACTAGCAGATCTCTCTTTTAAATGCAAATGAAAGTCCAAGCAAAAGGCTCTATAAAAAATAAAAATCTTCCCTCCAGCAGTAGACCATGTTTATGGTCACTCCTTCTGGAAGAGAAAGTAAAGACAGGTGTGATTCTATAAATCTGCAGAAGTAAAGTTGTGGGGAGAGACTTAGGTCCCCAGAGTTGGCAGAAAGGTTATTTAAGTGAAAATGTCTGAGCTACAAAAGATGCTGGAAAAAAAAGTTACCTGAACTTTCCCCTTATCTGGCTAAAGCCTATTCTCCTGAAAATACCAATTGGCAATCACACCTTTCTAAGAAAGTGATATGGTTTGCCTCTGTGTCTCCATCGAGATCTCATCTACAATTATAATCCCCACATGTCAGGGTAGGAACCTGGTGGGAGGTGATTGAATGATGGGGGCAGATTGCTCCCATGCTGTTTTCATGATAGTGAATTCTCACAAGATCTGATGGTTTGAAAGTGTGGCACTTCCCCCCCTTGCTCTCTCTCTCCTGCCCCTATGTAAGATGTGCCTTGCTTCCCCTTTGCCTTCTGCCATGATTATAAGTTTCCTGAGGCCTCCCCAGCTGTGTGGAACTGTGAGTCAATTAAAATTCTTTTCTTTATAAATTACCCAGTCTCAAGTAGTTTTTTTAAAGCACTGTGAAAATGGACTAATGTAGGGAATTTCCTAAAAATTCAGCTGCTTTGGAGACAGAATGCCCATTTCCATTAGCATTAAAAAGCCCAATAGAACCTTTCATACTCTCCCATTGAAACCGTAAAAGTCCCCCCTTTGAGTTGATATATAAGTATAAACCTTTACTTACTTATTGTACATGAACATATATGTAAATCTTGTTTTTTCTTTTGTTACTTTGTTTATTGTCAGTTATTTTGCAGACCCCAACCACCAGACCGGAGTAGGAAGAAGAAAACTTCTTTCACATAACAGCATTGTCTATATGCTTTGGCTTTATTAGTGCAACAATAGGAAGGGTAAATCAATTGTAATGCAGCCATACAGTTGCTATGTATGCAAAGATATCTCAATTTTATTTACTATATTAATTACAGATTGCCAGAGATGAAAGTTGGAATAAAGAATTCCTCTCTTTATACCAAAGAGGAAGTAAAACTCTGACAGTTTTAAGTGATGGTCTCAATGTTGAATGACTGAATTAGAAGAGCTGGAATAAAAATTGAATTCTTCTAACTCAGACAAGCGTAACTAGGATTCAATCCAAAAACTAGATCAGATTTAGATTAAGGGAATTGTGAGTGTGCTGAGGACAGCCCACTTCCTCAGTACAGCACCATTTCCATTTTTACAGTGAAGGCATTGTTGGGGTTCAGACAATGATACTCAAAGTATGGTGCTTTGGCATGCTGAGTACCTTGAACTGAAGGATGTTGGAAGAACCTCAGAAGCAATAAGTGCTCTCTGACCTTCATCCACCCTCTTTTCTCCTTCCTCCATTTCTCCTCTGAAACAAGTTATCAAAGCTAGAATTCTTCTTCCCCAGGGGAACCATATACACTAGAACTCCTCTTCTCCAAGCCAGCAATAAAACCTAGAAATGTCACTCTCTGACCCTCTCCCTTTTCTCTTGAAGACCCTCATGTAACAGGTATCCTGCCCCATACCTTGAGGAAGGAATGTGACACAGAGAGGCCAAGAAGAATTTGAACAAACAGGTTTTGCTGGGTTCCCCTCTCAGTTTATTACCATTAGATCATACCCCTTTTGTCTCATTAAACTTCTACACATCATTCCACACTATGTGGAACCTAAGCATAAAAATATATGGTCTACTCCTGTGCCCCATAAAACTTTAGTTAAATGAATTTGTTATGGTTTTCTCTTGCTGATGTAACTTCTGTTATAAGGGCGTCAGCCATGTACCTTGCAATGGGTGAGGAAAAGATACTACCTTTTTGCCCCTACAGTATAAAATAAGATCCTTGCCCCTATTGATGATAAAGTTTTTGAAGCCAAAAGGGATACATGCCCTTCATAAATGGAAATAGCACTATATTACCTTCTTTCAGATATCTGTATACTTGGTGTGGTCCCAGAATACAGGCTAATTTTGGAAATAGGAGGTATAGTAGGAAAAAATTGCACCCACTTTAAAGTGAATTTTGTACCAATTTAAAAAAATATTTTGCATGAATTATTTATAATGGCTTCTGGGGAGAATTTTTATTCACTTGTTCCTTTTCACTTTGTTAAAGTAACACATTTTAAATAAGCTTGTGAAGCTAATCTAGCCAGCCTCCTTGTGATATAATGCTTGTAATTCATCATGCTAGGATGTTTATTGGCATGATGAGACATGTAAGAGTATTTATCATACCAATTTTGTTTATCCTGTTAGTTTATTTGACCCATCCCAAATAAATTATTGTATTATAGTCACTTCAAAAGAGACAACTAAAAGGCACTTCTGCACTAAATAAAACCAATTGTCCCCAATATGCCTTAGAGATCCTGGGCCCATATCTTTTCCTCTTATAACATATTAGGATCTTATTGCAAGTTATTTTACTTTTCCCCTTACTATAGCATTTTATTCAAACTTTCCTAAGAATCAGCTGGCATGTTTTGGAAAAGGAATTGACTAAATGCCAAGTAGAATTCTGATGTGAGTTTTATGGAGTAAGGCTATATAGAAATCTGTGCATGAACAGATTGGCTACAAAATATACCAAGTACCCAGTAACGCTCCAAATCAGTGTCCCGGAATCAATGACTTTTGGCATCCTAATGAATCATTCTGTCCAGTGGTTTAGTTTGAAAATGTTGTCAATGCAATCATTAAGAGTATTGAAATGCTGGATCAAGTGCTTTTCTATTTTCTTCCTTTGGGTTTTATAAATGAAACTCATATTGCTCTCCACTATTGAAATAATTTGCTTTCTGAAGGAAGCTGATTCTTATTTAATAAGGATGCTCCGTATTACAAAAGCAAGAGAATACTAAGAAATTATTACTTGTATTGAAAAAAGAAAAAAACTAAAACTAAGTGAACATAGTTGTTTTGTTTCTATTTTTATTTATTTGTTTGTTTGAATAGACAGGGTCTGATATGTTGCCCAGGTTGGTCTCAAACTCCTGGTTTCAAGTGATTCACCAGCCTGGGTCTCCCACAGTTCTGGGATTACAGGCGTGAGGCACTGTGCCTGGCCTAGATATTTTTTCTTATTGAAAAAAATCTACCAACAAATAAAAGAAGTATTTTCTCTCTTCTACTTTTCTCTTGGACATTAAAATAATTATAGGATCTTAGTAAGGAAGATGATGAACTTGTATGTGGAAAATGCACTGAAAAGAGAATAACCTTTTTAATCATCTGCAATCTCCAATTTTTCAGCTTTAGAAAAGTCCTAGTAAGACCATAAATGGATTGTCATTGAGGATGTCTGTAATTCAGCACAGTTTTCTGTATGCCTTCTTCATGGTATCATTTTAACCAATAAATCATTGCTGCTGTGTTCTTTGCCAAAGAAAGATGGGCTCAAACAAAAGAAGGGTCCACTGAAATCTTCAGAATGTCTTACTTGCCTACAGGCCAGATCCTCTCTTTTAGATAACAGGATCACTGAACTTTTACTGTTGTGTTCTGTTTTTTTCCATGACTCCTGTTGATTACTGCTAGGGCATGGGCAAATATCTCCTCACACGGAGTAGACTACATTATTATTCCAAAATATTTGCTGCTTTTCCTGGGGAAGGATTAAGTTCCCCTCTTCATTGATTAACAAAATGGGAGTGGCAGTTTTTAATCACCAGGGTATGGGTTGTCAAGTTCTGCCACAATACTAGGAATGTCCCAGTTAGAGGCTGCTCTATCAGCATCAGATCTCAGATGGACATAAACTTTCCATGTGGAATTTTATTTTGTTGTAAGTTATTGAGATTTAAGGAGATTTGTTACCATGTCATAACCTAACTTCTGCTGATGTAAACCAAAAATAAAACCCTAAGTCTCCCCAGCAGACTGAATGGACTTCCTCTTGGCCAAGAGTACCCCAGAGAAACCTGAAAAACTACATTTTCAACCATGACAATGACAGGAAGAATGGTCAGACATGCTTCACTTTAATCCCTCCCTTTTGGACTTGAAGCGCAACTGACAAGTATTAAGGTTAAAATAGAGATAAGACTGACAAAACAGATTCTTTGTGGCAATAAGATATCAAATTATAAATAAGACCCAGGGCCATGAAAGGTAAGGGTTGTCACAATGTACAAACCATAAAATCTCATTAAATGGGTTTTGAATTTCACCCAGTCTAATGTGGCTTACTTTCTAACCTGACTCTGGTATAGCATCACATGACAGATAGCAGATCCTGGAGGAAATAAAAATATTTTACCCAAAAATGTATTTCTTTGACATGTTTTGAAATGGATTTGTAAAGCTGTCTTTTGTGGGGGGAATTTGCATCTTTAGAGAATCTTCATTCATGCAGCCAGGCTTTCCCTTTCTAGGCCTTTCCTGGATCTGGGAGAGATTAACTGAAAGTCTGACACCTTTAAAGTTCTGAAGAAAGGCCAGGTGTGGTGTAGCTCATGCCTATAATCTTAGCACTTTGCAAGGCTGATGCAGGAGGATTGCTTGAGCCCAGGAGTTCAAGACTAGCCTGGGCAACACAGTGAGACTCCATATCTTAAAAAAAAAAAAAAAAAAAAAAAAGTAATACATAAAAATAAAGTCTGAAAAGAGACATTTACCATCCATTCTCTCTGAGGGTTGCTACCTATGAAGGTAAAAAGAACTGTGGCCTCTACAACCTGCTTATTTATTTATTTATTTTTGAGGCAGGCTCTCACTATGTTGCCGAGGCTGGAGGGTGGTAGCAAGATCACACCTCACTACAGCCTCAACTACCCATGCTCAAGCAATTCTCCTGCCTCAGCCTCCCAAGTAGCTGGGACTACAGGCACATGACATGATGCCCGACTAATTTTCTTTTTCTAATTTGCAGAGATGAGGTCTTGTTTGTTGTCCAGGCTATTTTTGAACTTCTGGGCTCAAGGGATCCTCTCACATCAGCCTCACAAAGTGCTGGGATTACAGGTGTGAGCACCACACCTGGCCAACCTGTTTATCTAACTCCAGTATTCCTTTCTACTGACTTTAAGTCTTTAGACAATAGCTTAACTTCCTTAAAAAAGTTGTCAACCAAAGAATCCCTGGAACCCAGCTATGACTTTTATGACCTCTTTTTGGGCAAACCAATGTATACCTTCCATGTATTGATTGATGTCTTTGCCTGTAATTCTGTCTCCCTATAATGTATAAAACCAAACTGTAACCCAACTACACTTCTCAGGACCTCTTGCAACTGTTCCCCAGGCCATGGTCATTCATATTGGCTCAGAATAAACTTCTGCAAAACATTTTGCAGAGTTTGGTTTCTCTGTTAACACGGATACATTGTCTGTTATGGAGAATTAGGAGAAGTAAAGGTAAATTATTATTTAACAATGACTACTATATGCCAGGCAATTTGTGTATGCCAATTCAATAAATTATCAGTAGAGGGACTACTTAATAGGCATAATTGAAATTGGAATAAAGTCGGATCCAGAATAAATATTTTCCCTTCTTCAGGTTTCTAAATTCAGCCAAAGATTAGTTCTTTTTTCCCTGAAGCAAAATGACTATTTGCCTTATGGTTTTCCAGGTATTTATTTTTATTCTATGCTAAGGCCTGTGAGTATCTTTGATTAGAATAGTTATATTTATTTGAGTAAGGGTGGAAGGAAGAAAAGCAAAATGTATTTCCTGAGCAGAGTGTGTTTATTCTTCTTAGACATGGTGTGGAGCCTAAGTATCAAGATTCCTAGATGAATATAAAAATATATATACAAGATACATAAAAGAGGCAACCACCCAGCATAAACATCAGTGAACTGTGAATAAAACTCTCAATGGCAACGTGTGAGAAGAGATTTTGCTGCTTATAATAATAGGAACATAGTCATTAGACTCTCAACTGGAGCCCAAGCCCAAGAAGTTTCAAATGAGATTGAAGCTGAGCCAAGGTTAGTGGAAATACCTGGAGACACTTCCTGAGAAACTTATGTTAGCTTTGTAATAACTAAAGGGCAGCATTTAGAGCCCTGCCCTGGGGTTACTACCTTCATCTCAGTGAGACTAGTTCATTAGGGTGATTCTTCTCTGTGTCACAGAAGAAACTTTGATTATAAGTGTCAGAAATTCAATCTCTAAGTTGAACTAAAAGGAGAACTTATTGATCATTTACCATTAAAAATCATTTAATTTTAAATGGTGCAGTTATTTCACAGAAACTTGCAAGGGTAAGATTTTGGCAATGGCTAGATTCAGGAGATACAAGTCACTGGTGAGTCCTGTCTGTCTTTTCCCTCCAGACTTTTTATCTTTATTCTGGTTTCCTTCTGAAATAAGTTCTTACCGGGGTTGGGACAGAATGCCACTAAACTCCAAACTTAAATCAGCTATAGAATTTGAGATTCCAGAGAAGACAATATCCCTTTGCCAAAATAGGCAAAGTCACTGGAGAGCCTGTGATTATGTCATCTTGGGTCATGTTGTTACAGGTAGTTAGACATGAGTGGGGCAGGAGAGGGCTCTCCCCCCTCACCCACTAAGGTTGTTGGGTGATGGTTCAGCGATTATTGCATTCCCTGTCTAAAAATTGTAATTCAGCAGCTCCCAGAAGAGGCCATTTCCTAATGGTCCACACTTGTTAACAACAAAATGTTAACCGAATGCAGGCCCCAGGGAGAAGCAGCATCCTGGGTATGCATGTTAAGAGGCAAAAATGGTGAAGTATGATCTTCCAGGGTGGGGGAACACTCCACTGTGTTTGAAATGCTTGTTCCCTGGTGCCATAAAGAAATAGCACTTGAACATAAATTTAATTTTCTCAGCAAGGCCATTTTTATACTTTCTGCAGAAAGGATACACTCACCAGCAGTTTTGCCATGACAGTACACCGAACAAAGGAGACAGGGTCATTTATAATCTGACGTGTCCACCCTACTACTGTGTGCAGTTTCCATTGGCTGGAACGGGACCTCGCATTCTATATTTGTCCCGACTGGCTAGCAACTTAGAACTTTTTAAAAGAGGCAAAGGCAGAGGAGAACAAAGGAAGGAGGAGGTAACTTATGGAATGCTGAGAAAGGTAAAAACACCTTCAAATAAGGAAGAGGAACAGGCTATGACCTATTGCTTGCTAGGACTAGTATAAACATGCCAGGACAAATATTTAGGCTAAATTGTGGGAGCTAAGAACATAAAGTACATTGATTTCCTTATTACAGCTAGCAGATATTTAAGAATGTTA